>NC_000011.10:108687576-108990606 GCF_000001405.40 Homo sapiens | reverse complement strand
GTCCAAAAGCCAGCAGGCTCAAGACTCAACAAGAGCCAATGTTTCAGTTCATGGCAGAAGAAAAGAAAAGAGCAATGTCCCAGCTCAGGGAAGTCAGGCAGAAGGAGGTCCCTCTTACTGGAGGAAGGGTCAGCATTGTTGTTCTAGTCAGGGTTTCAGTTGATTAGATGAGCCCCACCCACACTGTGGAGGGCAGCCTGCTTTACTCAGTCTACTGATTCAAATGTTAATCTCATCCAGAAACATCCTCACGGACACACCCAGAATAATGTTTGACCAAATGTCTGGGCACCCTTTGGCCCAGTCACATTGACACATAAAATTACCCTTCACAGCATCTCCACATACTAGTATTTTTGTCCTTACAGGATAAAGTCTGTCATACTTAGCTCAGGCTACTATAACAAAATACCTTAAACTGGATGGCTGATAAACAGAAATTTATTTCTCACAGTTCTAGAGACTGGGAAGTCCAAGATCAAGGTACCAGCAGATTCAGTATCTGGGGAGGACCCACTTTCTGGTTCATAGATGGCACATTCTCATTGTATCCTCACATGATGGAAGGGGCAAGACATCTTTCTGGGGCCTTTTTTATGAGGCACTAAACCCATTCATGAGGATTTTACCCCTTGATCTATTCACCTCCCAAAAGGTCTCACCTTCTAATACCATCACATTGATGAATAGGTTTGAACATATAAATGTGGGGGCATGACAAAACATACAGACCATATCAAAGTCACAGCAGTGGAATTACTGAACAGAAAGGAATGTACAGTGTTAATTTTAATGGTGTTTGACAGTTTGATTTTCACAAAAACTAACAATTTATATTTCCACCAGCATTGTATAAGAGGACTCTTCTCCCCAAAGACATGGAACCAACCCACATGCCTATGAAGGATAGACTGGATAGAGAAAATGTGGTACATATACACCATGGAATAGTACGTAGCCATGAAAAGGAATGAGATCATGTCCTTTGCAGGGACATGGATGAAGCTGGAAGCCATAATCCTCAGCAAACTAACACAGGAACAGAAAACCAAATACTGCATGTTCTCACTCATAAGTGGGAGGTGAACATTGAGAACACATGGACACAGGGAGGGGAACAACACTCACCAGGGCCCATTGGGTGGTGGGAGGTGAGGATAGGGAACTTAGAGGACAGGTCAATAGGTACAGCAAACCACCATGGCACATGTATACCTGTGTAACAAACCTGCACATTCTGCTCACGTATCCTCGGTTTTGTTTTGTTTTTTTTTAAGAACAAATAAAGGAAAAAATAAAAGAAGAAAGCAGGACTCTTCTCCATATTCCCACCAGCAATGAAAGTTAATGCTATCTTAAATTTTGGCCTTTGATGTTTTTTCATATCTCACTGTTACTTAAAATTGGATTCCCTGAACACCAGTGACTTTTAATATCTTTTCATAAGGCTTTGGCCATCTGGAGTTTTTCTTCTGCAAATAGTCTCTGCATACCATTTGTCCATTTTTCCACTGGGTGGTTTGTCCCTTTATGACAATTGTAAAAGTTGTTTGTAAATTATTAGATGTATGGCTATTAATCCTGCTTTTCACTGATTTTTTTTCTATGACTATCATGTACTTGGTTTTTTTTTTTTTCATTTTTTTTGGTAAAATATTTTCTTTGGTTATGACCTCCCCTGCCATCAGATTATACAAGTTAAATCCCAATTTGTTTTGCAAGATTTGTATTATCGTATGCTTATGAAAAGAATCCAGTTTTGCTTTCAAACAGATGGAGAACCAGGAATCCCAAGACCATATCATTAAATCCAGCCTTTTCCTGCTGGAACACATTAAATTCTCACACACATCAAGCTTTATTTATGGATTATCTATTCTGTTCCACTAATCTCTTTGTTTTTCCCAACACCAGTATCATGTTGATATTATCTCATTGTCTTAAAAGTGGATCATAATATCTGGTAAGGGAAGTTTCCCCTTCAATTTTGTTTTGCATATTTCTCTTTGTTAGTCTAAAAAAAACTCACTCTTCCAAACAGATAGAAAATTACAGCTAGATAGGAAGAGTAAGTTCTAGATTTCTATAGCACTATAGAGTGAATAATAAACAATTTATTATATATTTTCACATAGCTAGAAGAGCACATTTTGAATGTTCCCAACACAAACAAATGATAAATGTTTGAGGTGATGGATATACTAATTACCCTGATTTGAGCATCACACATTATATACATACATGTATGGAAATATTACACTCTACCTGAAAAATATGTGTAATTATGTGTCAATTAAAAATACTGAAAATTAAAAAATTTAAAAAATCCTTCCTCCATATACACTGCAAGATTGTTTAATTTCCAGGATAATAACTCTGTTGGGATGTTGACAGAAATTACCTAAAGTTTGTACATAAATTTTTGAAGAAATTACTTTTGTACTAAATGTTTTCCTTTGGAAAAAGAAAGTCTTTCCAAATGTTTAGATATTGTTGTGTGTCCCTCAATAAGGTTGTATAGCTTTCCTCATTTAAGTCTGTGTCTTTCTTAATATATTCATTTAGTACTTAAAGTTATAAATGAGTTTTTTCCATTTCTGACTTCTTACTTACTAAAAAAGACAAGTTTTAGTATTTGTATATGAATCTTATTCCAGCTACCTTACAAAATTATTTTACTAACTTGAGTAGCCTTTTTTAATATCTAAAAGTAGAGTCTTGGGGACTTTGAAAGGTTAAAAAAAATGCATACTTCTTTTCTTGACTTATTTCATTCACTACCACTCCAACACAATGTTGTATAATGATGATGAGAATATTCCTTTTCAGTGCCTGATTTTGACAGAAATAGATGTAGTGTTTTGTCACTTAAGGTAATACTTGCTGGTAGGTATCATGACTGATCTTTATTATATTTAGGTTGTTTACTTCTATTCCTGTATTACTTAACTGTCTTTTATAAGAATTTTATAAAATGCCTTTCCAAAATCTACTAATGTAATTTTGTAATTTTTCTGTTTCAGTTAGCTCTTTTAATCTCTTTCCATTTGTTCGTTAGAGTTATACTGATACAGATATTTATATCCATCTTTTCTTGCATTTCTAAAATAAATCTTATTAGATCACAGTACAGTATTCTTTTAAAACTCCACTAGATTCTATCTGCTGTTTATTTTATTTTTTGCATCAGTACTCTTAAGTTAGATTGATTTATAGTTTTTAAATTTTCAATTATACTTTATTAGAGCTGAGTATTAAAATAAGATGGACTCTATTATAAAGTGAATTAACATCTTCTTCATTTTTTCACGATATAGAAAAGTTTATTTAACATTGCAACTATCTTTCTTTAACTATTAGATAAATCTGAGTTAAGAACCTGTTTAGTTTTGCGGCCTATTTTCATTGGAAATTCTTTCTCCAAGTCTTGGTCTCCTCTCTGCTCCTACACTTCCAGCTCCAGGGATGCAGACTGCTTACTGGTTCAGGATCTACAGAGAGCAAGGTTCTTTGCTCAATACTGTTTCCTCTCCACTTCATTTTCTTCCCAGTCTAGTTCATTTGCTATTTGTTTTGAGTCTTTTTCAAGTATTTTGCTGAGATAGTGAATGGGAGTGAAATATACGCTAGAGGATTGCATGTCTTCAAATCATGGTAGTTTGTTTGTTTGGTTTTTTCATTTGTTTGTTTTTGTTTTTTTGGGTTTTTTTTTTTTTTTTTTTTTTTTGGCCTTGATGGGGGAATATCTTGGCTGGACATTGGATTCTTAGGTTGTGTAGTTGCTATAGTTTTCACTCCAGTATCTTCTAGCTTCCAGATGAGAAGTCTGATGCTAATCTTCCTCTTATTCCCTTATAAGTAATCTGTTCTTCCTGTCTAAAAACTTACAGGATTTTCTTGTGGTATTTAGAGTTCAGGAATTTTTAGTAGAGTATGTTGGGTCTCACTTTTTTCATCAACCTGACCTGGAACTTGGCTAGACCCTTCCATATATAGACTCAAGTCTTTTCAGAAATTTTTCTTATATATTTAATTATTGCCTCTTCTTTAACTGTTCCTTTGTATCCTATTGTAAATCCTATTCATTCCAAGTTGTCCCCTGGTTCCATTCTCCCAGTCTCTCTCTCATTTTTTCTCATGATTTTATCTGCTTTTTTCTCATGATTTCCATCGGATTTTGCTCTGTGCTTTGATCCTCTAAGCCACCAACATGGGTGGCCCTCAACAGTGACCATTAACTCCTTCAGTTACATCTACTAAATTGGTGACGACTTTTCTTTCCTTTAGAAAGTCCTTTTGAAATGCACTTAAATTTCTTTAGGTTTTCTTATTGCTTTTTTACTCATTTCCTCCAACAGCTCTGTTTTGCTGAGATTGTGTTCTGTTGGTTGTGACTCATCTTTCTCCAGCTGGTAGGATCTTTCAGATGCATGTTCTTTTTCTCTGTTGGCTCAGTGGGATCAGGTCTGGTTGATGGCAAACAGGACAGAGTCTCTTTCTCCAAGGGCTGGTAATACAAAAGCAGGCAGGTTGCAGGTCCTGCCAAGGCTGCAGGAGGAAAGTGCCCGGCACCCCAGGACCCTCAAAGAGAGAGGCTGCTGGACCAGTGCTCAGCTCTTTATTGGCCTCTTAGGCACCAGGGGAACCAGAAGTGTCCACAAGAATGATGTCATCCTTCTTCCTGGGGTACTGAGATTTCTCTGGGCCAAGCCATTTGCAGGATCAACTGCTTGCCAATTTCCATAGAACTCCAATGGTTGTCCCCACACTCTTACTAAATCTGTGTCTAGTTCTGATGTAAAATTCCTGTCTAAATTCTACAGAGCCTCTAGCCCCACCTGGTCCCAGCACTCACAGCTCCAGCTGCCAGTTAGTCTCAGAGATGCAGATAAATTGGAATTGGGAGTGTGATGAAATTAACGCACTCCAGAGTTAATAAAACACACACACACACACAAAAAGAAAAAAAAATATTCTGCATGTCTCTCCTCCCCCACTCAGCCTATTTCTAACAAGAAAATCACATGGGTGCCTGGCACACAGGCCTGCTAGAAAAAAAAAAAAAAAAAAGGAGCAATCCAATTTAAGAAACACTTTAAATGATATTTTTCTTCATTTCTGCAAGGCCTGTCCTGGTTCTATGAAGGCCCACAGCATGTGGGTCAGTTCTTACGTTCGCCACTGTGTTAATTAAAAACAGGAAACTGGGCTGAGAAGGTAGATCAGAGGGGAGGAGTTCTTTCCTTCCAGCTCTCACTTGGTCTTCATTTAATTCAGCTACAATGCCAAGAAAACTAAATATTACAAAGTAATAATCCTTGTGTGAGCACTAAGTTAGGAAATGAAGAAAAATATCACTGGCTCATGCCCTAATAAAGCCAAGCTATTGAAAAGGCTGAGAATTTATGGCAAATTCCCCTCTGAGGTGCTTAATGACCATTCTGCTTCTCCGTTTCCTTTTAACCAATGCTTGAAGTATGTTTGTGCAGCCTGCAGCTGCCCTGGAATCTCAGCCTACCTCATTTTGCATCTGGCCCTTTGAAAAACTGCAGGCTCCAGAAGTCTTTGGGAAGCATCAGTGGGCTCCAAAGAACAAATGTAAGTGGCACAGGTCCGTCTGGGCCCAGAGTGAGGAGAAAGCTCTGGACCAGGAGTCTGCCTAGGTCTCCTCACCTGTAGGGTGGAGGACAAAACTCCTGCCTTCCAGGACTCTTGGAAGGTTAAAGGAAAATGCTTCATAAACAGCCATGCAAAAGCAAAGTGATGGAAGCTGTTATCATCACATCCTCATCCCAAAGGCTGTTATGGGTCTTGCTTTCCAGGCCCATGCTTCTGCTCCATTCAAGCCTGACAAGTTTCAGAAAACACATTGCTTCACACCTCTATTTTTACAATCCCCATTAGCAACAAGAGGCATCAGAGTGATTAAGCCAGTGCTACTATTAACAGTCTCTCATTGATTTATGACAATGCAAACAGAAGCATCATATGGGTATAGTTTCACTGGATACATTAACTGTGCAATAAAAGATGTTATTTATCATTAATAAACTTAAATCAATCCTGACTCTGATAAAAAGATAAGAATAAAAGATCTTAGTGGGTTCAAGTGTCTAGGAGGAAAGCATCATTCTGTGTTTTGCTTTTGTTCTCTGCTTTTGTCTTTCCTAACAAGGATCTTCTTCTCTCTAGTTCTTTTGGCAGGGAAATAACAACATTTTTCTTCACTAGAGCGCTCAGCAATTGTAGGATGTGTTTGCCTTGACTTACTGCCCTCCCACTCATAACAGAGGAAGGCATCTTTTCTCCAAAGGGCAAAAAGCAACTGAGAAATTCTGGAAGCATCACTAATCCCACAAACTGGCAACCCAGGGTAGTGGCTCAGAGACAGGCTTCCTTTTAGAGTCAGAAATATTTCAGTTCTAACTACATTCCTCCACTTGATCACCTGAACTAGTCATTCAAAGATTTCTTCAGCCTCTTTTAGTTTCCATTTTCTTGGCTTTGGAACATGAAGATGCTCTATAACTTATCAGTGAGGATAACATTAAGTAAGATAATTATTTAAAAAGAACCTATCCCAATAGCAAGTATGCAGTAATTTAATATTAGTTTTTGTTAATAAACACCATTTACTTCTACCCTAAAATGCCCATGTATTCTTCAAAGAAAATAAAATGCTGATGCATCCAAAGCTAGGGTTATAAATCTGGAGACTGTGGCTCGGATGAGTGATTCCCAAACCTGCCTGCTCATCGGAATTTTCTGACGAACTTAAATTGCAGAGGCCACATCCCCAGTGAATCAGAACCCCCTGGGAGAGGGTGTCATGGCAAGAAACTGTGTCTATTAAAAGCTTCCCAGGTGATCTTGATGAGCAGTTGTGTATGGGAACCAGTGGCTGAGACAATCAAGGCTCGAGAAAAATTAGTCCCGTTACATAAAAAGCAAAAGCTAAAAAAAAAAAAATTGCCTCTCAATTTCATTTCCAAATATGTCTCTAAGTTGCCTTTTAAGAAACTATTTTGGAGAATGCCTTGTATGTGTGATTAAATGTGATAAATATAAATATGTAAAGAAACAATATTCACAGAAGAAAAACACTCATGGCAGCCAGCAAAGGTACACGTTGCCATAAATGAGCTTCATGAAACACAGACACATTGTGTGATGAAAAACATGAACCAATCCATCTTTTAGCTTTTATGTTACAATTGGTTAAAATTCAGTAAAGGGTCCTGAGGGCCACTGCAAACTCTTCCCTGATAATGTGGTCCAGAAAAGCCTACAGGAAGTTGTGTAACATCTCAAGAAAGGGTGGTATATGGGAAGCACACATGGATGCCAGCTTCCTTTATATTTGCCCTTAAGGCTGGTCCTTTCCTGTGTATGCTGCCTACCCAGTGGCCCAAGGCAAAAACCTGGCAACACCCATGACTCCCCCTTTCCCCCCAACCTGCCTTACCTGCACAGTGACCAATGTATCCTCTCTATTTCACCTTCTAATCATCTTTCCTCTTGTGCCCCTCTACTGGACCATCACTGGCCCCAAAGAGGCTGTCATTTTCCCATCCTAGCCATTCCAGTGCCCTTGAAAGACAGGAATCTGAATCTGCTTGGGACCAAGGTCCTAACAAAAATGCACTCAGGAACTCATGGATGCTGAAGGTAGACAATGCAATAGATGGGACAGGCAGGTACAAAACTCTCTGGGCCTGATTTGAGACCCTTCAGAGAGGCCTATGTAGAGTCTGCTGGTCTAGAGAGTCTTGTGCCTTTTTATTGGACAAGTCATGGAAAGGGAGGGTCACCAATCCCAGGGTCAAGGTCTCTAGCCAGAGGCTCCAAAAATTTCTATCCACAGAATAAAGATAACACACTATAGGGTAATATAAGACAACAGGCAAGATCTGGGTCAGAGCAGGTATGGATTTGAGTGCATTGCTGCTGTGTCATCTTAGACAAATTTATGACTCTGAACCCCAGCTTCCCTATTTGAAAATGAGAATAACAATGCCCATTTTACAGAGCTACTCTGAGAATTAAAAATATTTAAAATTTAAAAATGCCCAACATGCAGCAATCACTCAATAAATTCTAGCTAATACTGTTATCAATAACTGGATGTATATGTATGTAAGTTTGTGTATTAGAAAGAAACTGAAAAGATGTATTCAAAAGAGAACTATTCTTTAGGGTTACATCATCCTTGGTTTCAATTTTTGATATTTTATTAATTTCCCCACAGCTTAGAAATCTAAGATTCTTCATCCTTTAACAACACAGTATAAATCCAATGCCACTTTGATGACAGTAAGGCCATCAAAATGTGGAAGGGTGAGGGATGAGAGTAGAGAACAGATATGGGTGAGAAACATACTTAAAATGAATGACTTTTGAAGCCTTCTTACAACAAAACAACCAATCACCAATGGCCTTGACCAAAAGGAAAAAAGAGTACACATTGAAATACAAGATGTTATCACATTCACCTATACTATCTACCCAGAATTGGGACATCCATTTGCAGCATGTGAACAAAGTATAATCTTAAATAAACCATGTATTAGTCTGTTTTCATGCTCCTGATAAAGACATATCTGAGACTATGTAATTTATAAAGAAAAGAGGTTTAGTGGACTCACAGTTCCTCATGGCTGGGGAGGCCTCACAATCATGGTGGAAGGTGAAAGACAATTTTTACATGGCAGTGGCAAGAAAGAATGAGAACCAAGTCAAAGGGGTTTCCCCTTATAAAACCATCAGATCTCGTGAGACTTATTCACTACCATGAGAACAGTATGGGTGAAACAACCCCCATGATTCAATTATCTCCCACCGGTCCCTCCCACAACACATGGGAATTATGGGAGCTTCAATTCAAGATGAGATTTGGGTGGGGACACAGCCAAACCATATCAAACTGTATGAGGGTAAATAAAGCTAGCTGCTAGAGTGACAACCCCCAAATCTCAGTGGTGCCATACCATTATGCTCTGTTTCTTACAAGACAGGATCATCATTTCACAAGACAAGAACACATGGTCATGCAAAGACCCAGACGCCTTGCATCCTAGGACCCCATCTCTTTGGAATCCTCTCCAGCCCACTGGTAAACTGGAGGAGAGAAAGATGATCAGAAATGGTAGGTTCTTATGGATCAGGGCTGGAAATAGGCCTCATCCACTCTTCCACTCATATTATATTGGCCTAAACTCAGTTACGTGCCTCCTCACCTATTTACCTAATAGCGATGATGGCTGGAAAATATAGTCCAGCCACAGCCCAGCAAGAAAAAGAGAGTACAAATACTGGTGAGCCTCATGAGTCTCTGGGATTTTCCTAAAGCAAATACTGCATTCAGAGGATTTATTCACTGTGCGTTTTTTCCCAAAGACTGGGAAACCTGTTTATTTTTTAAGATCTTTTACTGATTTCAGGAGCAATTGACTAATCAAGTCCTAGTGTCACTACAGGTGGCGTCTGGCCCTTCTTAAACTACCCTGGGTTCACTTTACCTGTCAGATGTCACCCAGGCCCTGCCATTTGAGCCACAGGGACACGAGTGAGGGCACTGTCTAAATTAGCAATCAAGCAAGATTCTCAGGAAGTCAAGGTACCCCAACCGGGTCGGAGCCTGGAAGCTGGAAGTCTGAGAAGGGCTGAAGTCTGTCTGAGGTTTCCAATGTACAGCTACAAGAGAAGACTTTGTAGCTCCCAGCCAGAGAACACCAGGGAACCTCTACCCCATAGGCCATCTCAGCATGGCTGGCCAATTGACTTGCTTCTCAGTCCCATCCTGAAACAGCACTGTCTTTTCAGCTAATCACTAATGCATGGTAGTATGGAAAGCCCAGGAAGAAGCCCTTGAGGAGAACTCCACATATAGTAGATAATAATAATAATAGCTGATGTATCTCATGCCAGTCAGAATGGCAATTATTAAAAAGTCAGGAAACACAGATGCTGGCAAGACTGTGGAGAAATAGGAATGGTTTTACACTGTTGGTGGGAGTGTAAATTAGTTCAACCATTGTGGAAGACAGTGTAGTGATTCCTCAAGGATCTAGAACCAGAAATACCATTTGACCCAGCAATCCCATTACTGGGTATATACCCAAAGGATTATAAATCATTCTACTATAAAGACACATGCACATGTATGTTTGTTGCAGCACTATTTACAATAGCAAAGACTTGGAATCAACCCAAATGCCCTGGATAAAGAAAATGTGGCACATATACACCATGGAATACTATGCAGCCATAAAAAATCCCAAAGGATTATAAATCATTCTACTATAAAGACACATGCACACATATGTTTATTGCAGCACTATTTACAATAGCAAAGACTTGGAACCAACCCAAATGCCCTGGATAAAGAAAATGTGGCACATATACACCATGGAATACTATGCAGCCAAAAAAAAGTACTATTCATTCATGTCCTTTGCAGGGACATGGATGAAGCTGGAAGCCATTTCTCTCAGCAAACTAACACAGGAACAGAAAACCAAACACTGCATGTTCTCACTCATAAGTGGGAGTTGAACAATGAGAACACATGGACACAGGGAGGGGAACAACACACACCAGGGCCTATTGAGGGGTGGAGGGCAAGGGGAGGAAGAGCATTAGGACAAATACCTAATGCATGTGGGGCTTAAAACCTAGATGACGGGTTGATAGGTGCAGCAAACCACCATGGCATATGTATATCTATGTAACAAACCTACACATTCTGCACATGTATCCTGGAACTTAAAGTAAGAAAAAAAAGAGAAAGTCTTAAATAATAATAATAATAATAATAATAATAATAATAATAATAATAGCTGATGTGTCAAAATTGAATTTTGTTCCCAGGTCCTGTGATAAGCAGCTTTACCTTGGCTTTCTTGTGTAATTCTCAAAATCACCTTCTGAGGTGGGTTCTACTATTATGCCCAGTTTACAGAGGAGGGGACTGAGGCTTGGCAAATTTCAGTCACTTCACCAAGGCCTTTCAGAAAGTAGAAGCAAAGCTGGGATTCAGTCTCCAAAGCCCAAGAATGGAGCTGCTACAATCTGCCCTCTGCAAAACCTCTGATGGGGCTTCTGGTTCTTTCTTTGTATTTAGCACGGGAAAGAACTGGCCCTAAAGAATGATTCTCCTAAAATAGGATGCCGTCCCTTCACTTCTCCTCAGATGCTTTTCATCATGGTGGGGAAGAGGGTCAGAGAGGGGCTGTTGTCTAGCAACATTACATTTGCTGCCACACCCTTCCAACTCCCTCCTTGCAGATTCACAGATAACCTGTCTCCTCACATTATGGTGATCCTTGCCCCCTGACCCCTCACAGGGGGCAGAGTAAATACATGGTCATCTTCCCCATCGACACCTCTAGGCTAGGAGAGGCTAGGCTGCAAATTATATACCACTTGAGAGATGGAAGGCGTAGAGGGTGCAGAACCTTACTTTCCCCATTGCAACCCTCTTGGGATGCTTTATGTAAATATCTTCTGATTATAAAAGAATAAGGAGGGGAAGGGCTGATTCATAGCCAGCCAGGTCTTCACAAAGCCCTGGGGCAGGCTGTACAGCCCCAGGCTACATAGATTATCCCTGAGACCACCAGAGGTAAGAGAGGCTCCAGAGATGTGCATGTAGGGAGGGGGAATGGATGTGTAAGCTCTACCCACAGGAAATTCAGGACCAATCCCCCAGGGCAAATGCCCCAAAATCTATGATGCAGGTGCGAGAAGCCTGCCGAATGCTTTTAGATCAGAATAAAACAGATTTCTTTTTCTGCTTTTCCTTACCAAGTAACTCCTAGAGTTGGGTCACGGTGTCCCCATCCTCCCAGTGAGCACCAAGTGGGTAAGTGCTTCAGCACGAGCTTGTTAGGATCTGAATTGAACATGCTCTGTCCACTTAATACCTAATGCAGTGCTCAGCACAGGCAGATGCTTAGAAATTACTTTTAAATGAGCATTTTACAGTTGACCTCTCTTCTCTCTCTGCAAGCCATGTTGAAATAAAGAAGACAATGATAATGGTAATATACAGGAACTTTGTTAGAGAGCTATTTATTCTCCTGAGGCTCCATCCTGGGTCCTTGTCAAAGGGATTTGGTTATTAAAATACCTCAAAGATGTATTACAAGGCGGTTTCACCAAAAAGACAGTTGGGATATATCAAAAATTTTAAAAAACTAAATGCCCTGCCGTACCTCCATTCTTCAGGAGTTAGAAGGGGGAGGCACTGGGATGAGGAGAGGAGGAGGCGGGTCACAGTTTGTGACCTTCCCAACAGTTTACCTATGCATGGAAGAGGGACAGGGGAGGGAATCTTATTCCCCCAATTCACTGAAGCAGCTTCCTGTGGCTATATCAAGTTCCCCAAAGTTTCAATCGTGATGGAGATACTGGGACTAAAAGTATGACCCTTTATTCTTTTGGTGTGAATTAAATGCCTTAATGTACCAGATACTCTGCTGTGCAACAGGGGTACAGCTGTGAAAAAGACCAGCCTTCTTGGAGGTCCTAGTCCAACAGGGGAAGCAGACGAACAGGAGTCTTGTGGTGGTGTGAGTAGGGGATGAAGGAGCATCTCCCACACTCCCGCATATCAGATACCTCCTGGCCTCACCTCACATCCTCTAGGCTTAACTTTTACCCCAGCAGCTCTTCCATGGGTGCACCCTGAAAGCTGCTCCACATGTCTCTCACTCTCTGTCCTGGAGATTCTCTGCAGCCACTTGGGATGCCAGCAGGAGCCACTGGCTATTCACACGGGTGCAGTCTGGAAGAGCAATATCCCTTGGTGCACTGACAATGGACAGCAGGAGCCAATGCTTTTCTTTTAGGTACCTTAGGCAGACAGTTCTGAGGTCCATTTATACAGCTCATTATGCATTGAATCGTGTTCCCAAAACAGATGCTGAAGCCCTAACTCCCAGTACCTGTGAACGTGACCTTACCTGGAAATAGGATCTTTGCAGATGATCAAGTTCAAGGTGGGCCCTATTCCAATATGACTGGTGTCATTTTAGAAAGGGAAAATTTGAAGATAGACTTGCAGATAGGGAGAACATCATGTCAAGATGAAGGCAGCAATCAGAGTGATGTGCCTACAAGCCAGGGAACATCAAAGAGGGTCAACAAACCTCCAGAAGCTAGGCAAGTAGCATAGAAGAGATTCTCCCTAACAGCCCTCAGAATGAATCAACCTTGCCAACACCTTGATCTGGGATTTTTAGAACTGTGAGACAATACATTTCTGTTATTTCAGCCACCCAGCTTTGTGGTACTTTGTTATAGCAGCACTAGCAAACTCATACACAAGTCCTCAGAATTCCCAGTGAGGTGATTCCTCTGTTTCTCACAATGAGGTCCAGCTTGGTAGCCCATGCTTGTGATGGCTTCACTTTAACCCCTGCTTCCATTTTTCCAGCAACCTTCTCATAGTCCCTTGAATCCCAAAATTAAGTCCTCTAATTAAAGCCCCTGCACCAAGCCCTTGACTCTGCTTTCTAATGGGAAAAGCCAGGCTAAGGCACCCACCCTTGGAAGACAGTCAGCCATCAATCTAGGTCCCTGAATGACTACATGGAGGAGAGACCTTGGACTGTTATGTGGGTGAGAAACAAGCTAATCTAGTGTTCACTCACTTGATGGAGAGGAGCCACCTAGCCTACTCTGGGTCACACAGGGTGAGCCCTCAGGGCCTGGCTCTGACAGACACATCCAATGGTGCTATTAGGAGAAATTACAAGGTGTTGGGGCAAAAGGTCACCAGTAACAACGCTCACTTCCGTGTCTTCCCAATGCAGACCTCTTTCGCTGCCTTTATGTAATCAAGTACAGGGGTAGAGTTGCTTTGTGGAGTCCCCTTGTTGGCTTCCTGGAGAATCCTGCCACCTGTCCTTCCCTTCTTCATCCTACCTCACCCCTGCCTATCTATTCCTCCTGGGCTGGGGGCTACTTGGTTAGTCGGATACATTGCTTAACCGCTCTGCCTACTTTCCTAAGAGAGGTATTCCAGAAGAAATAAGAGAAAACCCTAAATATGCTAAAAAGGTGCTATTGGAAACTATTTATTATATTATCAAAACTTCTATGTTTATATCTTGACCCTCGAACTAGACTATAAACTCTTAGTGTCACCAAATGTGTGGAAACCTTTCTTGCTTTGGTAGGAACTGAATAAATATTTTTAAACTGGGGAGGCATGGTGGCTCACGCCTGTAATCCCAGCACTCTGGGATGCCCAGACAGGAGGATCACTTGAGGCCAGGAGTTTGAGACCAGCCTGAGCAACATAGCAAAATCCCATCTCTAAGTTAAAATTAATAAAAATAAATAAATACATAATTTGAAAAAGAATTTATTCTCCTCACATTTAGATTTAATATTCCCTAATCACCCCTTTATCAAATATTATCCCAAGTGTGGTAGTAAAAGAGCAAACTTCAGCATTTTTCCAAGATAATTTTTTTTACACATTTACAAGTGACTGGTTTTAATGCCATGGTTTGAAATGAGCATGGCTGCGGAGAGAACTGGGAAAGTCGTTCCACCCTGGCCTTGCCTCTGACCATGCACATGAGTGGTGAGCTGCTCCTGCTCATCTCCCAGCACACCCTGTACACACATGATAATCAAGCTGCATTCGTCCATCTGGCACTCAAGGACTTGGAAAGGGAGCCGGAAAACATAAAGGCAAATCTCTTTCCACAAAGCTTCCCACCTGCCGAAGAGCTGTGATAACACTCCTATTTTTAGCACAGAATAATCACATCAGGTGCTTAGTGAGGGGCTTGGGGAAAGGGCTGGAAGGGACCAGAAGTTCTGCACACACTCACTCTGTCTCTGTGCTGTGGACACCCTCCAAAATGTGCTTGCTGCCAGTTGCCTTTAAAAATCATAGAGTGAGGCCTGGCACGATGGCCCATGCCTGTAATCCCAACACTTTGGGAGGCTGAGGTGTGTGGATCACGAGGTCAGGAGTTCAAGACTAGCCTGGCCAAGATGGTGAAAGCCCCACTCTACTAAAAATACAAAAAAATTTAGCTGAGCATGTTGGTCAGCACATATAATCTCAGTTACACAGGAGGCTGAGGCAGAGAATTGCTTGAACCCAGGAGGCAAAGGCTGCAGTGAGCAGAGATCGCAGCACTGCACTCCAGCCTGGGCAACAGAGCGAGACTCTATCTGAAAAAAAAAAAAAAATCATAGAGTGTGTGAGAGACACTAGCAGCACAGAATACTAAATACTACAAACAATTTAACTCTGTGGGCAATTATTTGCTCAGGATTTGTGTGTGCCTGCAAATATTTGGGCAAGGTTTGAATGGCAGAGGCATGGAGAGGTAGGGAGTGGTTGAGGGAAGCTAGCCTTATATTTCCCTATTAGGGCATGGTGAGGGCTGTCAGCAGCATTTAGAAACCAGCCTCCAGGGGAAGTGGGTCTGCCCTAGTTTCCAGCATCCTAGAAAGCTCCACGTCTCCCCAATGACACCAGGAAAGCAAATTAGGCAGAGAAAGCAGTGATTCAGTGGCTGGTACAACACTGAGTAGGTCCTGATGCCTAGGAAACTGGAACAGAGTCTAAGTCAGTGCAATTCAACTACAATAAACCAATCAGAGTTATAATTTATGAGCACCTAGTAGGTTTTTTGTTTGTTTGTTTGTTTTTTCTTTTTGAGACAGGGTCTTGCTCTGTCACCCAGGCTGGAGTGCAGTGGCACAATTGTAGCTCACTGCAGCCTCTATCTCCTGGACTTAAGTGATCCTCCAGGCTCAGCCTCCTGAGTAGCTAGGACCACAGGCTCAGGTCACTACACCCAGATAATTTTTTTTAATTTTTTTTTAAGAGATGAGGTCTGTCTTTGTTGCCCAGGTTGGTATTGAACTCCTGGCCTCAGGTAATCCTCCTGTCTCAGCCTCCCAAAATGCTGAGATTACAGGACCACCTGGTATTTACTGGGCCTTTCCAAACTTGTGGATGCAGATGCTCATTCCCACGTGAACACCACTGATCAGGAACTGTCTCGTTTGGATCCAAAGACCAGAGGAGTTTTCCAGTTGTTACACATGTCTCAGTTTTAACCACTTTTGAGAAATACCACACAAATTCTGCTCTGAACCTCTTGCCAATAAAAAAATAAATTATTATCCCCAGAAGCAATCCTGTGACTATAAGCCACAATAAAATTATGAAATATATCAATTAAGGTGTTAACACACTATCCAATGAAGAATGCTGTCGGCTCATCGGATGCAGTAAAATTGATCCACTGGCGTGATGTGAGCACCTGATCAATTTATTTCACTGACAAAGGGATCAATATGCCGATTTTTTATGGTATTAATCATTAGGTGAATTGTATTCGTTCTGCAAAAACCTTTATACACTTAGTAAAAGGGTTTTCTCTCTCAAAACTGTCACTGTGAAGCTTTTTTCTCTGCAGATTTGGCATTTCAGCACTCAGGCCCACCTATGGACTGAGGACCGTGAACACAAAGCAATCAGTCTTAGGTGGCAGGCGTAAGAGGCAGAGGCTTTATTCTTCCAGGAGTGTGATGATCTCACGCAATGCTATAAAAGCGATGGGAATCTAGAGGTGGAACGAGCATTCACTGTCAAGCCTGGGACCAGACAGAAAACTTGTGGCTTTCTTCCCCCATCCTCACTTTCCCCAACACTCTGGTCCCCTGGCGTCTCCCAGTCTAGTGCCATAAAGCTCTTTTCTGAGTTTGGTAGGTGGCCGAATGACCGGAGCCTTGGGAAGCAGGAGGCAGGGAAAGAGCAACAGAGATCCCACCCAAGGGCCTGAGGTCCTGCTAGGACAGGCAGGAATATCATTGTACCAGAGTCCTTCCAAGAGCAGACTGGTTTAAAGGAAAAGTTAATAGGTGAGCTGAGGTCTGAAGCATCCCTTTAAAAAAAAACAATAAGACACCAAAACTTGCAGTATTGAGTCAGCCCTAGGGAAATGACTCAGAAGAAAAACGCTAAAAGTATTATCAGAGACTGTCATCAACTGGGAACTAACATTCCGCCACTCAGGAGGCACCTACTGCAGAGATGGCAGCTGACTCCCAGTGATGCCAGCAGGCTCTTCGCATCTGCACTGGCAATAAAAGGCAATGCAAGGAAAGCACGTGCAACCAAAGCATGGAAACACAAGAATATCTTTCTGATGTCTGTCCAGAGATTATTCTCCTGCCAAGGGCCATTCTTACCAAAAGGGAAGCACACCGGGGCCATCCTGATGTGTGTTTGTCATGGATACCTTGCTGGACACAGGGTATAGGACTCCAGGATAGGAAATCAGGACAGGGTACGAGCAGAGTACGTTGTGCAACAGGGAGACAACAGTGAAAAAGACTAGCACAAACATCCCGTCTTGGAACTCAGACCTGGGTGGACACAGGAGTTGACTTAAATGGGACCCCTTAACATGAAGTGGGGGCGATTCAGAGTGATTGGGGAAATGTGAGGCCAGAAGAAGCTAGTCCTAAAAGGAGGTGTCCTAAGTGAGGAACAGGCCCTTCTCAGAGGCCCTGGAAGGATTGCTACAGAGGGGAAGGACAAGGGTATGGAAGGATGACAGTTAATATTTTGTCAGTTACCCAGCGTTGTCCTGGTAAATTTAAACACTCACCTTCCTTCTCTGCTCCCACCTCCACCAGAGCTCCTAGTCCAGTTGCTCAGAACACTGACAGACGACCCGGTGGCACTGCTCCTCTGACACTGCAGACCCAGTGTGTGCAGGCACATGTCCACAACAACTCTTTGGGGGAAAAAATGTGTATACGTGTATATGTCCATTCATTTATTATAAATGTTGTAGATATAAAAGGTGTAAAACACA
This sequence comes from Homo sapiens, assembly GCF_000001405.40. Classification (NCBI taxonomy): domain Eukaryota; kingdom Metazoa; phylum Chordata; class Mammalia; order Primates; family Hominidae; genus Homo; species Homo sapiens. The sequence goes on along the minus strand of NC_000011.10, from coordinate 108,972,742 downwards.
AGTGACAACTAATAATAACATTTATAATACTCTCTATTGTACATTTCATATAACTAATTGATTCTTCCAGAATGCTTTTGTCGATTTTTGCCAAAGTCTTCTAATTGACTGAAGAGCTGTCTGAGGACGACCACCCAATAGGGGCAACATTCAGACAAAGGAGTAGGTGGGCAGAAATTTCAGAGTTACCAGGAATTTGGCCAAGAATTACTTTGAATATGATAGTCAAAAGTTGCTGCTCCTACCCCAGCAGCGCTGCTCCTGCACACATCTGTGTACAACACACACACACACACACACAGACTCAAATTCTCCTTGCCATCCAGAAGAGCCTCACTTTTCTATTCTCCAGCCAGCAAATTCCTGAGCCATGGTGTTAAACATGGAGTTACCATATGACCCAGCAATTCCACTCAAGGGAAACGAAAACGTACGTCCACACAAAAACTTGTAGATGAATGTTTATAGCAGCATTAATCATAATAGCCAAAAAGTGGAAACAAGTCGAATGTCCATCAACCAAAAAATGAATAAACAAGATGTGGTATATCCATACAATGCAATATAATTTGGAAATAAAAGGAATGAAGGAATCCACACCACAGCATGGATGAACTTTGAAAACATTCTGCTAACTGAAAGAAACCAGACCCAAAAGGCCACATATTGAATAATTCCATTTATATGAAACCTAGAGACAGAAAGTAGACTAGTGTTTGCCTCAGGCTGGGAAGGTTGAAGGAGAAATGGGATGTAACTACTAACAGATATGAGGTTTCTTTTGAAGACAATGAAAATGTTTGAAATTTGATTATGGTGATGTCTGCACAACTCCGTGAATATACTAAAAACCACTGGGCTGTACACTTTAAAATGGTGAACTATATGATCTGTTAATTATATCTCAATAAACCTGTTTTTTTTAAATTTCTGAGCCATGGCAAAAAAGCTGGTTGAAGTCTTATTTCAATCCTGTGAATGTACCTCCATTGCTAATGGTTGAAGAAGAGCTTTATGAAATGACTTGACCTCATTTTCAGATTGGATTCCCACAACTACCATGTGAGGCCAGCAGAGATGAGATTGCGTTTACTTATAAAAGGCTGGGGTTCAATCTGTTAGGTGACTTGCTTAGGGTCACACAGCAGGTCTAGAATGGAAGGTGGTCTTAGCATTGTCTACAACTCATGCTGACACAGTTCAACTAACTGCAAACTAAAGAGAGAGTAATTACCCTACAACTGGGTCACATGGTAAGGCTAGGAGTTCAGGTGGGTTACAGAGCTAGACCAGGGATGTGAAGCCCCTGCTGAAAGTCCTCCCCATAAAGCTGAAGACCAGGAGAGCTGAGGTGTTGGTTCACAGAATGAGACTTTAAGAGTGGGTGAGATCAGGGCTCCATAACCTGAATGTCAGGCACACCTAATTGATTCAGGTGTCCACTCGGTAAATACTTACTGGGCATCTATTACGACCTAGGCCCCAGGGATTCAAAAGAGAACAAAGTCTTCACTGTCATGGCTTTCAGGGTAGAAAAGCACAGACAATCCTATGACCAATTAATTACAATTGTGATAAGGGCTCCAACAGGGGAAATAAAAATGCCAAGAGCATATAATGGGACATGGCCTGCTTCAGACTAAAGACAAATTGGGAAGAGAAAATCCAGTATTTTGCCAAATTCTACCTTACCAATTCTAAGTATGTCCTTTCCTTGCAAAGTCAAACCAAATAACCTGTTTCCGGGTTTGGTTTTGTTTTGTTCATTGAGCATATGATATTTACTCCTCTGCTCTCAGGTTTTCACAGAAGAAGAAACATCTACAAACACTTCAAGCCACTCAAGAAGTCCCAGGAAGGGATACTTGATCTTTCTTTTTGCCTTTTTACTTGCTTTTTCCCAGAGAAAATCAGATTTATCTGATTAGCAAAACTGGTGAAAGGCTGACACCCACTGGGCCCATTTACAGCGGGCAGGCCCATGCACTGTAACAAGTTACGGGTCCATCACTCACCTCTCACTCTTACGGGCCCCTGGGCTTTGGAGGCCTGGGCTCTCCTTGGGTTCCCAGGCTCATTTTGTTAAGCAGAATCAGAGAATGCCTGCCTATGATGCCAAGCCCAATCTCTACTCTGGGTTCCAGTTTCTTTATCTGAGACTGGGTGAGTGTTCCAATTACCCATGAGTAACAAACTATGCCAAAGCTTAGTGGCTTACAAGAACAGTTATTTCATAATATATTACAATTTTTCAGGTCAAGAATCTGAGATGAACTCAACTGAGCAATTCTTCTGCACCACATGACGCTGACTGGTGTTACTTCATGGTGTTTGGCTAGTGGCTGGGTCAGGTTGTGGCGGGGGTGGTTCAGACAGCTTCACTCATATGTCTGGCACCATGGTGGGGATGGCTGGAAGGCTGGGCTCGGCTGGGTGCCTCTTCCTCTCCATGGAGTCTCAGGGCTACTGTGTGGTTTCCCAGGAAAGCTGGACTTCTCACCTGCCCCTCCAGGTTCTAATAGTGAGTATTCCAAAAGAACAGAAAAAAGAAGTCACTAGGAAACTAGCACAATGTTACTTCTGCCCATATACTATTGATCAAAGCAGCCAAAGATCCCACACTGATTCAAAAGTGCGAGACATAGATTCTACTTGCAATGGGAGAAGAGTCAAAGGATATGAAGCCATCTTTATCTACCACAATGGGTAAGTCTGATTTTGAGGTGGGAGAAGATACAGAAAGCTCTATTTGGTCTCAAGCCTACAAAGTTTTCTGGAGAGCCCTTACTTTGGTAAATAAAAGTGCCCTGTGGACCCCTGCTTAACTCAGTTCTTTGTGTTTATTTTCTATAAGTCAGAACCCTAAAGAGTAAAAGGAATGACTGTCCACCCAGACCTAAGAAAGCCTGGGTTTAGAGAAGCCAAAAGTCTTAAGAAACCAGAGCAGGCTAATAGAGTGAGAACTCCAGAGAACACTTCCAATTTCTTCTAACCTTTTTTTGCTGCCAGCATGAAACTCACACTTGGTGTACTCAGCAGTTGCTGTCCTGTGACCTGTAGGGTAGGCTGGGACTGGAAAAGAAAGACTACAAATAATGCTTTTGGAGTTCTTCCCCAGTCGTTGCATTAGAAATGGGCCTTGTGGGACTTGGAGGTATAATTCCTGGGATCTAACAGCTGTGGCCTCTACATTGCTTGGCAACTTGCACCACCTTTTCTGGAGCAAACAATCTCACAGCAGACCTGGTGTGCTGACCCTGGGGACCCTGTGCCATCTGAATCACAGATGGCTCTCAGGCATCATCAAGGCCATGTTTCTGGGAGCATGGATGTGGAATGTTGGGTAAACGATGCACAAAGGCAGGGGCATGCCTGATTAAAGCAGCAGGGATTAGTGCTGAAGATCTAGGACATCTTATTTCCTATCCCAAATCCAAGCAAATGATACCACCAACAACAATAAGGGTAACAGCAACCACTGCTCTAAATATTTAAGTATATAAACTCACTTAATCCCCAAAACAATCCTGTGAGGTAGGACGACCACTAACTGCATCATACAGGTAAGAAATCCAAGCTCATAGCAATTGAGTAATTTGCTCAAGGTTACCTAGAAAGTAGGTGGAGGAGGAGGGATTTGAAATCCAGAGCCCTTGCCCTCAGTCACCCTGACTTTATCCTGGTTAACCTTAACAACGTGGCTGTGGACTATGTGTCCTTAAAATCAAGAGAGTGAGGCCAGGCACGGTGGCTCACACCCGTAATCCCAAACACTTTGGGAGGCCGAGGCAAGTGGATCACCTGAGGTCAGGAGTCTGAGACCAGCCTGGCCAACACGGTGAAACCCCGTCTCTACTAAAAATACAAAAATTAGCCAGGCATGGTGGTGGGTGCCTGTAATCCTAGCTACTTGGGAGGCTGAGGCATGAGAATTGCTTGAACCTAGGAGGCAGAAGTTGCAGTGAGCCCAAAATAGTGCCGCTGCACTCCAGCCTGGGCAACAGAGTGAGACTTTGTCTCCAAAAAAAAAAAATCAGGAGAGTGAAGCAGGACTTTGACTTCTGGTTTCTCAGCTCCTCTGTTGTGTTGGTTTGCTAGGGCTGCCATAACCAATTGCCACAGATGAGGTGACTTGAAATAATAGAAATTTATCCCCTCAGGTTTCTGGAGGCTAGACATCCAAAAGCAAAGCATCAGCAGAGCCATGCTCCCTCCGAAGGCTCTAAAGGAGGATTCCTCTTTGCCTCTTGCTGGCTTCTGGTGATTGGCAGCAATCTTTGGCTTTCTTAGCTTGTAGAGGTATTGCTCCAACCCCGGCTTCCACCTTCACAGGACCATCTTCCCTGTGTGTCTGTGTCCTCTGTGTCTGTCTCTGCTTCTCTTTTCCTCTTCTTATAAGGAAAGCAGTCATTGGATTTGGGGCCCACTCTGTTCCAGAGTAACCTCATCTTAACTAATTTACCAAAAGATTCTATTTCCAAATAAGGGCACACTCTGAGGTTCAGGGGCAAGAAATTCTGGGGGATACAATTCGAACCAGTATATTTGGGGACAAAATTAGGGCCATTCCACTGCAGAGGCAAGGACATCTTGATTTGGACTCAACTCTACCTTCCCTGAAGTTAAAATGGCTGTGTTCATTTGCCCAGCTTAGCTTTCTCTCTGGTCTCTAAGCTCTTTTAGAGTTTGTTCTTCATCTGTGTTAAGAACCCTAGCATTTAATTGGCTCACTTGTGAGGTCTGCTTGTTAAGGAGATTCTACGCTTCCCGTTGGTGGGGCAGTATCCCGTGTTTTCTGCCTCTCATGACAGCTTGCACAGCCTGTATTCACACAGGTCTCAGAATGGTCTTTCCAAAGCACAGTCTGAACGCGTCATTTTCCAAATGCTAAAATCTTTCCCAAACCCTCACCCCTCCCAGGAGCTCAGCCTGGCATGCAGTCTCCATGACAATGTGGAATAGCCCCGTGCTTGCAAGCATGAGCTCTGGAGTCAGACTGCCTTGGCTCAAAATCCTGGCTCTGCCACTTGTAAGCTGAGATTATATGGGCAATGCACTTAAGCAGTGTCTGGCACATAAGAAGTGTCTGCTAAATGTCGGCGATCATTATCATCACTGCTTTCCAGTCTGGGTTCCTGATCCACATTAACTCCTCGCTACTGCCCAAACACTGACATTTTTCAAGCTCCCATTCTTCACTTTTCTAGAATGCCCTTTTTCTTCCTTTCCACTGGAAATTCTAATTTATTGTTTTACAGCCCACTTCAAATTTGCCCTTTCAGTGATGCCTTCTCCCACCTGGCCTGAGCAAATTGTTGCTTTCTCCTCTGTGCTCCCACACACCCTGACCTTTCCATCCTCCATCTCTGTATTGCCTGCCCCTCTTGTCCCCAAAAGCATCCAGCACAGTGGCAGGCACATCAGTAAGCTGTCACAAGCTATTTATTAAATGGATGTACAAAATGCTGAATATTGGACATTTTTTTCAGCCTTTCCTCTCTAGTCTCTCACCCTTACAGACTCACCACTGTCCTTCAGTTCACCTACCGACCCACAGCCCCTCCAGGCTAATTTATAAATAGGAAATGACATCTGCATACAAATAGATCCCAGAGGCCAGGAATGCTCTGAAGACAAGGTCAGACACACTTGTTTTTTTCACCTTCTGAAATATCTGATTCCTACCTATTTTAGCTTCAGTATCTAAAACTCAGGCGTCTCCCTCACGGCCAGTGAAGGTTTTGCTCACCTTTTCACACTCTTCATGGAAAGCCTCTCTCCTTTGGCTGGTAGCCCTTCCCCAATATAACTCCCACCTGGTTCTAAAGCGCACCATTTGAAATGATTACAGCACGCCTGAAGAACCCAGTACTTTATTTCTTCACCCATTTAACACCAACTCTAACAAGACAGAAAGATTTGGACCCTCTTAGAGTTCTCTATTGTCAAATGAAGATGATGTTATCCCATGAGGAGCCGCATGTTTTGTAGGCTTTATGAACATGCAAGGGGTATGGAAATGTATAGCACAGGTGTGTTCCCCTGTTTGAGGGGATACAGGAAGTCCTGCATGGAAGTGATGTTTACTCAAAGATCTTGAAGGATGAGGAGCAGTTATCCAGGAGAAGAGCACGGGGAAGACTGCTCAAGGTGGCCCTGAGGCAGGAGAGAAAGATTCTTTATTCCGGAGAGCTGAGACAACCAGCACGGCTGGAGAATGGCAAGCCATCGGGCTGCTGAAGGAGGCAGAGGCCCTATTACAAAGGACAGCATGACTCAAGGGAAAGGTCTTCAACCTTATCCAAAGAACAACAGAGAGCCTCTAAAGGGCTGGAAGCAGGGAAGGGAGCTGCTTTGATTTGGTTTAGAAGGTTCATCTGGCTGTGGAATGGATAATAGATTGGTGGTGGTGAGTGATGAGTTAGGAGGCTGCTGCTGAAGTCCAGGTTCCTCCTAATGATGTCATATTAACTTGAATTCTGACACTCTTTCCTGAGTGGGAGAGACAGCAGCAATGCCCGCACATCAGCAGTATGAACAGAAGTGTTCAGCCCACAACCACATCATCCATCCATGCTTTGGGGACCATCATCTGATGCATCAAACAGGTCACCCTGGTTGAAAGCTGCTAACAGTGGCTGCCGTTCTTCACCTCCTCTCTCTGCTCTGCTTCCTCGTCCCACTGCTTGCTGTGTCTCCACTTGGCTCTTAAAACACCAACAGTAGAGGATGCTGGTAGTCCACCAAAATCCGCTCTTCCCTTTTTCCACAGGAGTAGAATCAAAGCCAGACATGGGGCTGTCTAGCCATGCTACATTGCCAGCTCAGCTTCCCTTACAGTTAGATGAGGCCGTGGATGAAGCTCTTACCAGTGGGATGTGTTGCAACCAGGACGACTTGCAGCCTGCAGCTCCAACCGTGTGACCTGACCCCCTCCATACTCTCTTTCCACATGTGGCTGTGACTCAGCCTTGGCCATCCAGGCAGTGAATGGCAAAGCGCTGGAGAAGGGCAGAGCCTTGAGATGGAAGGAATCTGGTCCTCTAGGAAGTAGACAGCACTGCCCACGGTCCAGGAATGCTTACCTGAGACATGCAAGACAAACTCCTTTGCTCTTTATCCCACCGTATTTGGGGTCTTTTTGTAAGAGCAGCTTAGCTCACACTCGTGTGCTGACCTCCCTTCTGTCCAACTCTTCTAACCCAGGAACTCCCCACCTCCCCCACTTCCTACACATTCATCCCATGGTTCTTCCACGCATGCACCAAGAAATGTCACAACACTTCTTGCTTTTCACAAACTATCACTAAGCAGTTTGGTTTTCTTTTCGCCCCTTTTTAAAAAGAAAAAAAAAAACAGTGTAGATACCAGAGGGAAGATATAAAATGCAGACAGGCAAGAAAAATGAGGCATAATCTCATGAAAATATGCAATTATTTAATGGCTCATTCTGTATTATTATATTTGTGACCTCTCTTAATGTAAGAATATAGTGAACATTTTTGCCTTTTTTTTTTTTTTGAGACCGAGTCTCGCTCTCTTGCTCAGGCTGGAGTGCAGTGGCGCAATCTCAGCTCACTGCAACCTCCACCTCGAGGGTTCAAGTGATTCTCCTGCCTCGGCCTCCCGAGTAGCTGGGACTACAGGCGTGCACCACCACGCCCAGCTAATTTTTGTATTTTTGGTAGAGACAGGGTTTCACCATGTTGGCCAGGATGGTCTTGATCTCTTGACCTCGTGATCCACCCACCTCAGCCTCCCAAAGTGCTGGGATTACAGGCATGAGCCACTGGGTCCAGCCAGTGAACATCTTTTCATATCAAGAAATATCTTTTTACAACAGAATTTTTCATTTATAAATTTTTAAATTTTTTATTTTTAGATGTGACTTTTTAAAATTGAAAACCAAAAATGCCCTCAAATCTTTGAAGTCCTATTGGATTGGGATAAGTAGAGACAATGAACAAATATTTTGACTAAAACAAACCTGATAGCAGTCATGGCAAGTAAGGAATGTCCCAAAGAGGATTTTCCAGAGTTAAAATACATTCCAAGGCCAGGCGTCTTGCCCTTCACTTAGACCCATGCTCATCCTGGCCTTTGATTTGTAAATTTGCTTTGTTTCTGATTTACAATAACCTAAAAAAAAATAGAAATAAGTCTTTCAAATAATCTACTTTTTGTTATTTTCATTTTATTTTCTCCATATATATATATTTTATTTTCTCCATATATAGAGAAAATAAAATATAAATATATATTTTTATATTTATATAAAATATAAATATATATTTTTATATTTATATAAAATATAAATATATATTTTTATATTTATATAAAATATAAATATATATTTTTATATTTATATAAAATATAAATATATATTTTTATATTTATATAAAATATAAATATAAATATATATGGAGAAAATAAAATATATGGAGAAAAAAATATATATATACCTTTTTAAATAATTTCAACTCTTATTTTAGATTCAGGGGACACTGTGCAGGTTTGTTACCGGGATATACTGTGTGATGCTGAGGTTTAGGGTACAAATGACCCCATCACCAAGGTACTAAGCACAGCACCCAGTAGTTAGTATTTTAGCCCTCTCCCTCAGGCCCCCTCCCTTTTCTAGTGGTCCTCAGTTTCTATTGTTCCCATCTTTATGTCCATAAGTACCCAGTGTTTAGCTCCCACTTACAAGTGAGGACTTGCAGTATTTGGTTTTCTGTTCCTGAGTTAATTCGCTTAGGATAACGGCCTCCAGCTGTATTCATGTTGCTGCAAAGGACATATTTTCATTCTTCCTTATGGCTGCATAGTATTATGTGGTGTATATGTACCATGTTTTTTAATCCAATCCACTGTTGATGGACATGTAGGTTGATCCCATGTCTTTTTTTTTTTTTTTTTTTTTTGAGACATGGTCTTGCTCTGTTGCCCAGGCTGGAGTACAGTGGCACGATCTCGGTTCACTGCAACCTCCACCTCCCGGGTTCAAGCAATTCTCCTGTCTCAGCCTCCTGAGTAGCTGGGATTACAGGTGTGAGCCACTGTGCCCAAAGGATTCCATGTCATTGCTATTGTGAATAGCGCTGTGATGAACATAGGTGTGCATGTGTCTTTTGGTAGAATAATTTCTTTTCCTTTGGGTACATATCCAAGAATGACATGGCTGGGTCGAATGGTAGCTCTGTTTTAACTTCTTTGAGAAATCTCCAAACTGCTATCCATGGCAGCTGAACTAATTTACTTTCCAGCAACAGTGCATAAGCATTCTCTTTTCTCTGCAGCCTCGCCAGCATCTGTTGTTTTTTTGACTTTTTAGTAATAGCCATCCTGACTGCTGTGAGACGGTATCTGAATGTGGTTTTGATTTGCATTTCTCTGATGATTAGGAATGTGGAGCATTTTTTTTATATGTTTGTTGGCCGCTTGTATGTCTTCTTCTGAGAAGTGTCTGTTTATGCCTTTTTTACAACAGAACTTTTAATGGATGCGTAGTATTCCACTGAGTCTGCCATAATTGACTCATCCACTCTCCAACTGTTGGAAATGTGTGTCATTTCCAGTGTGTTTGTTTGTTTTCTTCTAAACAACTCTAAAATGTAGATCCTTCAGTATCCTTTATTATTTCCTTAGCATAAATTGCTGAAAGTAAAATTGCCATATAATGGAGACACATAATTCACAGCTTTTGATGTAAACTGCCAGCTTGTCCTCGAGAAACAGTAAACCAATTTAAGGCAGGTTGGTTTTCTAAAGACTGCTATACTATGTACTGTGTATTTGGGAAAACAGAAAACAAACAAACGAGAAGTCCCTCAAGCCTCATATGCCCCTCCCTGCACTTGTAACCATACCATCTTCTTGGGCAGGCGCTGAGCCTCTTGCCTCCCAGGTGTCCAGGCAGCAATTCCACGAATGCAGCTCACTGTCCCTCATATGGAATAAAGATCTGAGGCTGGGCGTGGTGGCTCACGCCTGTAATCCCAGCACTTTGGGAGGCCAAGGTGGGTGGATCACGAGGTCAGGAGTTCGACGTCAGCCTGGCCAACGTGGTGAAACCCCCGTCTCTACTAAAAATACAAAAATTAGCTGGGCATGGTGGCGGGCACCTGTAGTTCCAGCTACTCGGGAGGCTGAGGCAAGAGAATCGTTTGAACCAAGGAGGCGGAGGTTGCAGTGGACTGAGATCACACCATTGCACTCCAGCCTGGGTGACAGGGTGAGACTCTGTCTCAAAAAAAAAAATATTTGTAAGGCAAGAAAAAAACCCATAATTTCCGCTATTTTTATTAAGGGCAGCTCCTTGAGACTCTCTGAACAGGGCTAATTTCCATTTTCTGAGAACTCAATAACCCTCTCTCTCCACAGAAAAAAAATAAATCAAAACAAAATATAAATTCCTTAGGGGACTCCTCTCTGATCTCTGCAAAGATTTAATGGCAGAGTGGAAGCAAAGTCTTAAGGTACTTCAACAGCTTAACCACATAGCATACCTATGCATTTGCCGCACATCAGGCAGGGCTGCAATTGTGTCTGTCCAAGTAAACACAGGGGCGCCCCTTGATAATATCCCTTGTTGGCTTTTCTTTTTTCCAAAGTCAAAAAGTTGAATCAAAACAACTCTACCAATGCCTCATAAAACTAGTGGGTTTCTTCATTCAGGATACCTTCGTGAAGATTTTCTGCACTTGCTTTTTCTTTGAACGATCTAAGCTGCGAGCATTCTGAAGCCCAGAGATCACGGTTTCGAATGTTAAGTTTATTCTTGACATCTTCTCCTCTTTCTTTTCCTAGTCCTCTTTTTAATGATGGACCCACAGATTCCTAATATTTCCTCCAAGTTCCTTAGCCTCCCCAGAAGCCATGCTTAAGATCTTATGATGGCTGTTATTTGGGAGGTGGCCAGAGGAAGGGCCACAGGACACTGACAGCGTGGTATATATGCTCACCTGGCTGGCTTCATTTCCTTGCCTGTACATAGAAGGCATCCAGGCCTCCTTCTGCCCTGTGTGCCCACGGGTATATCACAAAGACAGGCATTGCAGTGAGAGAGCCATTTCCAGCCGATCTTCACAGTTGCTTCAATAATGTCGACAGGTGTTTACTTTATTCAGCTGGGGGCACAGTTAAGACTCGATCATCATGGACCGTCATGGGCCCTGGAGAACATAGATGTTACACTGGGGGCAGCAGTTGTAATATTTTTAGATTAGAAGGGGAAAAAATGAAAGGGAAAATGTGATTCTTATAGTGTGAGGCTTTAGAAGAGATGCAATACTTAGCTGTGGCTTCTGTCTACCTCTAGCCTGTGCGTGCTAGTGCTTCCTCAAATCCCAGCTTAGATGTGGCCTGCTGTGGCAACTCTGGTCTCTCTTCAATGCCACAAACTTCTGGCTCTGACAACCACTCCCAGCTCCACTGCTGCGACTCTGTAGTACCTAATGTAAACTCCCTTGAGTTTCAATGAGCAGGAGACTCTCACCGACCCAGTTTATTTTTTTCTCTGTTGTGTAACAAGTCAGAGTTTGTGGGCTCAAGGCTGGGCCTCACCGTGGTCTGGTCAGCTGGGGCCAGGAAGTATAAGGGAGAAGAGGTTCCTATTAGGCCAACCCTTCCATGTGGCAGGGAGGTGGGAGGGGTCTTCTTACTTAGAAGATACTTGTGGTGCCAGAAAGGCCTCCATCTATGAATTAATATTCTAGCAGGGAGGAGAGGAAGAGAAATTTGAATAACCCAGACAGCCCATGCTGAAGCCGGATCCACCCCACATGAGTTCTCTTTGTCAGGTGTAGGAGGCACACGAAAGAAGAGGGGTAGAAGGAGACGGGTATTAAAAAGACAAGAGCCTTCTCCAAGTGAGATATTCCACCCTGAGTCTCAGAAACCTTAACAGAGCCTGGACTGTCCTCACACTGAAGTGCCTGCTCATCTGAAAAGCCAGGAAGCAAGCACAGGCTCCCCACGGGGAATCTCCAGACACAAAGGGATCCCTCCTCTCACCCGTCTCTGCATTGTCTTCCAGAACATCCGGAGGTGTGTGCCTGGGAGGAGGGCAGAACTGAACATGACTCGCCCGAAGAGCTGGGTGGCAAGGCTTCTGTGCAGGCAGCAGTTTTCATTCCCATGGAGTTCTCACTCTTGAGGAGGCAACTGGGAACCTCCTCCTCCTCATCCTCATCCCTTTGGTGCCTTCTTTGCAGAGAAGCAGCTTACAGCTCCCTCTGAATGGTGGGGACTGAGCTGATTTGCCCTTGCACTTATGGGAGCTCTGGGACAACGAGCTGGCTCCAAAGCTTAAAAAATCATCAGAAACTGAGGCTCAAAATCCTTCCTGAGGAGCCAGACTGTCTGCTAGATGCCTCAGCACACTGGGAGTGACGCTGGGCTGCAGGCAGTTCTGAGGTTTAAGGCACAGATCGCTGTCTGGTCCTTGTGGACTCTTCCAGGCCATCCTTTTTTTTCACCAAACAGTACATGCTGGGCATGGTCTATGGCATCATCAAGGAGAGCACACCCTCTCCCCATGGCTGGGAACTCTGCATTTCCACCATTACGCCTCCCAAGGTGAACCAAGGCCTGCAAATGTAGCTCTCAGAGTCCCACAGCTCCATGCCCTGTGCAGAGACCTTCCGTCCCCACTGTGGTCAGCCATTGGCTGCTCCACCAACCACAGCGACCTTCAGCTGAGGCTGTGCAAGGAAGAGGCTGTGGTGAAGAGGTCAAGCTGTGGACTTAGGCCAGGTTCAAATCCTGGCTCTGTGTCATGGGGAAGTCACTTCCCTCTCAGCCTGTTTCCTTACCTGTAGAATTGGGTAAAATACCATCCCTTCAGAATCAAAGGATTAAATTCTAGCTAGATTAAAGGAGATAATGGGTGCAAATGGCTTCACACAGATAGTGCTTGGTGTAATTAGGCAGAATCAGTAGCTCTCATTTATCATTCATTTATTCACACACACACATTATCATAGGCACTTTCTATGTGGCAGGCACTGGGCTAGGTGCTAGCATGTGAAGAAATCAGACAAATAAACAATTACTTTTACTGCAGCACATAGAAGCACTGAGTATTGTGCAAATATATGGAAAAGACTTCTAACTCAGGTTGGGGGAGGAAATCAAGGAAGGCTTCCAAGAGGAGGTGGCAGCAGTGAGCCAGGAAAAGAGGGGTGGTGGGAGACAAGGGTGTACTTGGCAGAGGCAGCAGCATGTTCCAAAGCCCAGGGGGTTATGAAAGAGTCTCCTGTGCTGGGACCCACAAGGCCACAGCCCTGGCTGCTACCTAACACCACGGGAGCCAATTGTTTTCTCTATGAATTTGAAGGCTGGCAATGTATCTGTGCATATGATTTCTGATATAAACACACATATAATGCTATTAGGTTCAAATGCTTCCAAGCCAGTGCCTCACAGAGGAAACACTTGCAAACAGTCAACATCTGTGGCATAAAGGAATCCAGTGCTGGTGATGGGGGCTGTGGTTTTAAATTTAATAACATTTTTATTCACTCGAGGATAGTTTCTATTCAGCCCTGCGGCCCTCAGAGCCAGGCTAATTTGCACACGGCAGAGACACTCAGGTTTGTTTTTACCCAGAGCAGGAGATAATAAATAGATGAGGGTGAAAATTCTAATTGGATAAAGGTAGTTTGACTGTAGGCGAAAATAAAAGTAAAAATCCTCATGAACTAACCAGTTTCATGTGTTACCAAGTGGTGCCTCCAGCCGGGCCACTCCAGCCAGTCATTCAGGATAACAGACAGGCTGATGTTTCAATGACTCATCTTTGCAACAGCAGGGTCAAGACCAGAGGTTAAGAGACATATTTCAATTTAATAAACCATCTGTAGGAAATGCAAGGTTTTCAGTTTAGTGTCTTTGGCTTCCCTATCTAAATACATTTACATTAAGGTCCAGCACATCTCTAATTAAAATCTAAACTGTATTCCAGACTCACATCCAAAGAATGGCATTGAGTTCTGCGAAGACCTAGCCCACTGACTTGTGAGTTCATATTTGAAAGCTCTTCAACTCTTCCCTCCCCAATACACCATTTTCCATTTTTCACCTAGGTGGCAGTAACCTTGCTATGAATATAACTAGGGCTCATTTCTCCTCCCAGCAGATATAACTGTCACTTCATAAAAATAGTCAGAAATCTTCAAATGATTCATCCCATCAGCAGCATAACAATAGCTTAGAAATATACTAGATTTTCAGACATAGCTCTTACATGTCAGAGAACGGGGAGAAAAAAATGCACCGTAAAGCCAATTAAGTCTACTCGTAGAATACTAACTCCAGGCTCCACCGTCCACACCCAGCAGTTCTCAGCCCTGGCTGCACATTAAGATCACCTAGGAAAGATTCAAGTACACTAAAGGGATGGAATAACTAAAAATAATGAGGTCTCCAGAATGATTTAGAACTATCCACCAAGCTCCATTGATACCGTTTGAATAAGGTCTGTGGATTAGTGAATGGTATTGTATCAATGTTAATATCCTGGCTTTGATAGCTGCGCTGTGGTTATGTAAGATGTTAACATTTGGAAAAACCGGGGGAAGGATACACAGGACTGCTTTGTACTATTTCACATCTTTTTTTGGAAGTCTGAAATTATTTCAAATGAAAAGTTAAAAAAAAATTTTTTAAAGAAAGTAACTGGAAAAAAAAAATACCAAGAAAACCTTTAAAACATACCAGTGCCTAGGCCCCACCTCAGACCAGTTAAATGGAATCACTGTGTACAGAGCCTGGGTTTCAGTATTTTTAAAACCTCTCCAGTGATTTTAATGTGTAGCTAGAATTGAAAACACTGTTCTGGTGAGGTTAGGGGTGGGTGAAGTGATTCTGATTCCAGTTTTCCCACTTTTGTCACACCCTGCTCCATGACTTCAGGCAGGTCATTGAAACTCACTAAGCCTCAGTGGCCTTATCTGTTAAATGGGGAGACTAAGCTGTAGCTGAGTATATTGATATTGTGACAGTAGAAGGAAAGTGCAGGTAGAAAAGGCTTTATACAGTTTCAAGAACTGTAGAAACAGCAGGTGTTGGTGAGTCATTTCCTCTAAAGAGAAGCATCAGTACTTAACAGCCCCAGTACCTTTAGAATGCAATGACATACGCCGGGCATGGCGGCTCATGCCTGTAATCCCAGCACTTTGGGAGGCCAAGGCGGGTGGATCACGAGGTCAAGAGATCGAGACCATCCTGGCCAACATGGTGAAACCCCGTCTCTACTAAAACTACAAAAATTAGCTGGGTGTGGTGGCACACACCTGCAGTCCCAGCTACTCGGGAGGATGAGGCAGGAGAATCGCTTGAACCTGGGAGGCGGAGCTTGCAGTGAGCCGAGGTTGCAGTGAGCTGAGATTGCGCCACTGCACTTCAGCCTGGTGACAGAGTGAGACTCTGTCTAAAAAAAAAAAAAAAAGAATGCAATGACATGCCAGTAAATTAATAGGGGTAGCCTAGTGGTCAAAAAGTGGACACTTCCCTTATAACCAGGGCTTCCTTTCCTTTGATCACCTCAACCCAACCTTGCCTTGCATCTCTTCTTTTTTTTTTTTTGAGACGGAGTTTCACTCTTGTTGCCCAGGCTGAAGTGCAATGGTGCAATCTCAGCTCACCACAACTTCCACCTCCTGGGTTCAAGCGATTCTCCTGCCTCAGCCTCCCAAGTAGCTGGGATTACAGGCATGCACCACCATGCCCAGCTAATTTTTGTATTTTTAGTTGAGACAGGGTTTCTCTATGTTGGTCAGGCTGGTCTCGAACTCCCGACCTCAGTGATCTGCTCGCCACGGCCTCCAAAAGTGCTGGAATTACAGGCGTGAGCCACCATGCCTGGGCCCTTGCCTTACATCTCTACAGTGACAAGGATGTCTGTCCTTGGACCACACACCATCAGATTTCGCTACCTAGGTTTTTCCTTTTCTATGCTGGCTTATGACCTAAAGGATAGGTGATGATCTCTATTTATTAAAAAGAACTATCTTCTATTTGTTCTTGTAACCACTCCATCTATAATAATGGTTCTTAAACTGTAGCATGCACTAGAATCTCCTGAAGGATTATGAAAATATATGTTGCACAGAAATGTTCATAGCAGCAATATTCCTACTATGGTTTGAATGCCCCTCCAAAATTTATGTTGAAACTTAATCCCCAAGGTGGGAGTATTGAGAAGTGGGGCATTTGAGCGGTGATTGAATCATAAAGGCCCTGCCCTTATGAATGTGTTAATCCATTCATGGATTAATGGGTTGATGAAATAACAGATTATCCAGGAAGGGACACTGGTGGCTTTACCAAAGGAAGGAAGACCTGAGATAGCAGTTAGCATGCTCAGCCCCCTTGCCATGTGATACCCTGCACTGTCTCAGGACTCTTCAAAGTATCCCCAAGCACAAGAAGGCTCTCACCAGATGCACCCCCCAACCCCAACCTTAGACTTCTCTGCCTCCATAACTGTAAGAAATAAATAAATTCCTTTTCTTTATAAATTACCCAGTTTCGGGTATTCTGATAAAAGCAACAGAAAATGGACTAAGACAATTCCTAACAGCCAAAAGGTAGAAAAAACCCAAGTGTCCACCAACTCATGAATATGTAAGCAAAGTGTGGTATATCCACATTATGGAATATGATTTGGCCATAAAAAGGAATGAAGTGCGAATACCTCCTGTAACATGAATGAGCCTTGAAAACATTATGCTCAGTGAAAGAAGCCAGACACAACAGGTCTATATTGTAGTTTTCTTTTCTTTTCTTTTTTTTTCTATTTCTTCCTGGTTCAATCTTGGGAGGTTGTGTGAAAAGGAAATTTACCAATTTCCTCTAGATTTTCTTATTGATTTATTTTATTTTACTTTAAGTTCTGGGATACGTGTGCACAATGTGCAGGTTTGTTACATAGGTATACATGTGCCATGGGGGGTTGCTGCACCTATCAACCCTTCATCTAGGTTTTAAGCCCCATATGCATTAGCTATTTGTCCTAATGCTATCCCTCTCCTTGCCCCCCAACTCCCAACAGGCCCCGAGGTATGATGTTCCCCTCCCTGTGTCCATGTATTCATTGTTGAATTCCCACTTATGAATGAGAACATGCAGTGTTTGGTTTTCTGTTCCTGTGTTAGTTTGCTTAGAATGATGGTTTCCAGCTTCATCCATATCACTGCAAAGGACATGAACTCAACCTTTTTATGGCTGCATAATATTCCATGGTGTATATGTGTCACAGTTTTTTTATCCAGTCTATCATTGATGGGCATTTGGGTTGGTTCCAAGTCTTTGCTATTGTAAACAGTGCTGCAATAAACATATATGTGCATGTGTCTTTATAGTAGAATGATTTATAATCCTTTGGGTGTATACCCAGTAATGGGATTGCTGGATCAAATGGTATTTCTGGTTCTAGATCCTTGAGGAATCGCCACACTGTCTTCCACAATGGTTGAACTAATTTACACTCCCACCAACAGTGTAAAAGCATTCCTATTTCTCCACAGCCTCACCAGTATCTGTTGTTTCCTAACTTTTTAGTGATCGCCATTCTAATTGGAATGAAATGGTATCTCATTGTGGTTTTGACTTACATTTCTTTAATGACCAGGATGATGAGCTTTTTTTCATGTTTCTTGGCCGCATAAATGTCTTCTTTTGAGAAGTATCTGTTCATATCTTTCACCCTCTTTTTGATGGGGTTGGTTTTTTTTTTTTTTTTGGTCTAAATTTGTTTAAGTTCCTTGTAGATTCTAGATATTAGACTTTTGTCAGATGGATAGATTGCAAAAATTTTCTTCCATTCTGTAGGTTGCCTGTTCACTCTGATGATAGTTTCTTTTGCTGTGCAGGTATTTTTCTATTTATACAAAATGTCCAGAATAGGCAAATCCACAGAGACAGAACATACGTTCGTGACTGCTAGGGCTAGGGAACATGATGGGAGCAGAGGGGATACCTAAAGAGTACAGGGTTTCCTTATGAGGTAATGAAAATGTTTTAAAATGATTGTGTTGATAATTGCATAAATCTGTGAATACACTAAAAACCATTAAACTGTACACTTTAAATGAGTTAATTGTATGGTATGTGAATTACATATCAATAAACCTGCCAAAATGCATTAAAAAGTATATCTACTTCTCAAAAAAAAAAAACCCCACAAATATCTGGGCCTTAACTCCAGAGTTTCTGACTCAGTCTACCTAGGGTAGAACCCAAGAATTCACGTTTCTAACAAGTTTCCAGGTGACACTGATGCTGCTGGTTCTGAGGACCGCACTACAAGAGCCACGGATCTATAGTATTCTTAGTCTGATTGCCTAATAAAATGCAGGAGGGCTCTGTGCACGTCTTCTAGGTCTTTGGAGATCTGCATTCCCCTTTTTGTTTTTATTTTCTTATACTGGGATGGTCACAGCATGAGGAAGTGAAGTCTTCTGATTTATCTCTTGTAAGAGCAGTAGACGCCCAATGCAAGACATACCCCTGAACACAGGCTCCCCGTCGGTAAGTGGTTTTCTCAGGGTGTTGAAAATAATTCCTCGTGGCATTTGATGTGACTGGCTTGGATGCAAAAAGTATCCAAGAGTCTTTTCTAAACCTTCATCTTGACTGTAATTTAGAGTTAACTTATTCTTTAACTGAGGGGGCCTCATTAGGTATCTTGCATCAAAATCTTTAATACTGTTATAATACGCACATCTATTATCCCACAATTTCCCTTCTACAAATGTATTCTGAAGGAAGTAATAGGGATGTGTGCAAAGATTTGATTGTAAGGACATTCATCATAAATGTATTCAATAGCAAAAATTTAGAAACCACTTAAATGTTCAATCATAAGAGATTAAATAAAATATGATGCTTCTGTTGCATGTCATTTTCTGAATAAACCTTTTATTTTAGAACACTTTAGATTCACAGAATCACTGTGAAGCCAGCATAGAGAGTTTCCGTATACCCACACCCAGTTCCCCTATTATTCACATCTTACACTAGTATGGTATATTTGGCACAATTAATGAACCAATACTGATAAATTTTGATTAACTAAACTGCATACTTTATTCAGATTTTCTTACTTTTTACCAAATGTCTTATTTGTCCCCTAAACTCCTCTTGACTTGACCATTTCTCAGATTTTCCTTGTTTTCAATGATCTTGAGAGTTTGGAAAAGTACCAGTCAGGTATTTTGTAGAATGTCTCTCCACTTGGATTTGTCTGATGTTTTTCTCGTGATTGAACTGGGGTTATGTATTCTGGGAGAAAGACCACAGAAGTAAGGAGCCATTCTTTTCTTTTTTTCTTTTTTTTTTTTTTTTTTGAGATGGAGTCTCACTCCGTCGCCAGGCTGGAGTGCAGTGGTGCAATCCAGGCTCGCTGCAAGCTCAGCCTCCCGGGTTCACGCCATTCTCCTGCCACAGCCTCCCTAGTAGCTGGGACTACAGGCATGGGCCACCATGCCTGGCTAATTTTTTGTATTTTTAGTAGAGACGGGGTTTCACTGTGTTAGCCAGGATGGTCTCGATCTCCTCACCTCGTGATCCACCCACCTCGGCCTCCCAAAGTGCTGGGATTACAGGTGTGAGCCACCGTACCCGGCCTAAAGTGCCATTCTTATCACCTCATATCAAAGATACACACTATCAACACCACTTATCACTGTTGATGTTGACTTTGATCACTTGGCAGAGTTACTGTTTTTCAGGTGTTTCCACTGTAAATTTACTCTCTTTTTTGCTCTTTTCATGCTGTACTCTTTGGAGGAAAGTCACTATGCACAGCCCACGCTTTAGGAGTGGGAGTTTATGTTTCATCCCCTTAAGGACAGGACAACTACATGAATTATTGTGAATTCTCCTGCACAAGAGACTTGTCTCTACTCCCACAATTATTTATGTATTCAATCATTTATATCAGCATGGACTCATGAATACTTATTTTGCATGTTGGGTTATAAGTCAATACTACTTTATTTTGTTGCTCAAATTCTTTCATCTTTAGCCACTGGGAGCTTTTTCACTTGGCTCCTGTACTCCTTGGCATATTCTCACACTGTGAGTTTTGTGTGTGTTTCACACTTTCTTACTTTCTGGCACTACAAGATGCTCCAGGCTCATCTTGTATATTTCTTTTCTTTCCATTTTTTAGAGACAGGGTCTTGCTCTGTTGTCCAGGTTGGATTGCAGCAGTGGCACGATCATAGCTCACTGTTAACCTTGAACTCCTGGGCTGAAGCAATCCTCCCACCTCTGTTTCCTGAGTAGCTGGGACTACAGGTGTGCACCACCACACCTGGCTAATTTTTAAAAAGTTTTTATAAAGATGAGACTTCATTAGGTCGCTCAGGCTGGTCTCTAACTCCTGGCCTCAAACCTTCCTCCCACCACAGCCTCCCAAAGTGCTGGGATTACAGGCATGAGCCACCATGCCCAGCCTCATCTTGTATATTTCTTCCCACAGTTCTAGAATCAGCCATTTCTCCAATTTTTTCCTTTGTTTGGAGAAACCAAGATCTGGGCACTAGGTGTGCTTATTGCTTCTAGGTTGTATTCAATGAAATTTTAGTATGTCATTGAAAATCGTGTTGTAAAAAGATATTTAATGTCTACCAAATATTTAGAGAAAAATGTAATTTACAAAATAGTATAATCTCATAAATTCTTTCATATATAGGGAAGAAAATACACTAAAATACTAACAATGGTTATCTGTAGACATTCAATGATAAGTAACTGTATTAGGCTGTTTTGCATTGCTATAAAGCAATACCTGTCCAGGTGTGGTGGCTCATGCCTATAATCCCAACGCTTTGAGAGGCCAAGGTTGGAGAATCGCTTAAGCCCAGGAGTTTGAGACCAGCCTGAGCAACATGGCAAAACTCTGTCTCTAAATAACAACAATAATTATAGAAATGCCTGACTGGATAATTTATAAGGAAAGGGGTTTTATAGGCTTATGGTTCTGCAGGATGTACAGGAAGGTTAGCAGCATCTGCTTCTGGGGAGGCCTCAGGAAGCTTCCAATCATGGCAGAAGGCAAAGTGGAAGCAGGCACATCACATAGTGAAAGCCTCAATCAAGGAGCTTGTTTGGCAGGGGTAGGAGAGGAGAGTACCATGGAGATGGACAAAAACAATGTCAGACGGTGGTAAGTGGTAAGTACTCATTTAGGATGGCGTATGCCTGGGTGGTTTAGAGGGTGCTATTTTCCACTGACTGGTCAGAGAAGGCATCTTATAAAGTGACACTTGAGCCATTCAGGCCATCTGAGAGTCAAGAACTTCAGGCAGAAAAAATGGCAGAATCACATGGATGGGCACAGTGGCTCACACCTGTAATCCTGGCACTTTGGGAGACTGAGGTGGGTGGATTACCTGAGGTCAGGAGTTCAAGACCAGCCTGGCTAACATGGTGAAACCCCATCTCTACTAAAAATACAAAAAGCTTATCCACCATGATTAAGCCGGCTTCATCTCTGGGATCCAAGTTTCAACGTATGCAAATTAATAAACGTAATTAATCACATAAACAGAACCAATGACAAAAACCACATGATTGTCTCAACAGATGCAGAAAAGGCTTCGACAAAATTCAACAGCCCTGCATGCTAAAAACTCTCAATAAACTGGATATTGATAGAACGTATCTCGAAATAATAAGAGCTATTTATGACAAACCCACAACCAATATCATACTGAATGGGCAAAAACTGGAGGCATTCCCTTTGAAAACTGGCACAAGACAAAGATGCCCTCTCTCACCACTCCTATTCAACACAGTATTGGAAGTTCTGGCTGGGGCAATCAGGCAAGAGAAAGAAATAAAGGTATTCACATAGCAAGAGAGGAAGTCAAATTGTCTCTGCAGATGACATGATTGTATATTTAGAAAACCCCATCGTCTCAGTCCAAAATCTCCTTAAGCTGATAAGCAACTTCAGCAAAGTCTCAGGATACAAAATCAATGTGCAAACATAACAAGCATTCCTTGTGACACCAGTAATACACCAGTAATAGACAAACAGCCAAATCATGAGTGAACTCCTATTCACAATTGCTACAAAGAGAATAAAATACCTAGGAATACAACTTACAAGGGATGTGAAGGACCTCTTCAAGGAGAACTACAAACTACTGCTCAAGGAAATAAGAGAGGACACAAACAAATGGAAAAACATTCCATGCTCATGGATAGGAAGAATCAATATCGTGAAAATGGCCATACTGCCCAAGGTAATTTATAGATTCAATGCCACCCCCATCAAGCTAGCATTGACTTTCTTCACAGAATTGGAAAAAACTACTTTAACTTTCATATGGAACCAAAAAAAGCCTGTATAGCCAAGACAATCCTAAGCAAGAAGAACAAAGCTGGAGACATCACGCTACCTGACTTCAAACTATAATACAAGGCCAAATACAAGTAACCAAAACAGAATGGTACTGGCACCAAAACAGATATATAGACCAATGGAACAGAACAGAGGCCTCAGAAATAACACCACACATCTACAACCATCTGATCTTTGACAGACCTGACAAAAGCAATGAGGAAAGGATTCCCTATTTAATAAATGGTGTTGGGAAAACTGTCTAGCCATATGCAGAAAACTGAAACTGGACCCCTTCCTTACACCTTATACAAAAATTAACTCAAGATGGATTAAAGACTTAAGCATAAGACCTAAAACAATAAAAACCCTAGAAGAAAACCTAGGCAATGCCATTCAGGACATAGGCATGGGCAAAGACTTCATGACTAAAACTCCAAAAGCAATGGCAACAAAAGCCAAAATTGACACAAATGGGATCTATTTAAACTAAAGAGCTTCTGCACAGCAAAAGAAACTATCATGAACAGGCAACCTACAGAATGGGAGAAAAATTTTGCAATCTCTCCATCTGACAAAGGGCTAATATCCAGAATCTACAAAGAACTTAAACAAATTTACAAGAAAAAAACAATCCCATCAAAAAGTGGGCAAAGGATATGAACAGACACTTCTCAAAAGGAGACATTTATGTAGCCAACAAACATAAGGAAAACAAGTTCATCATCACTGGTCATTAGAGAAATGCAAATCAAAACCACAATGAGATACCAACTCACCCCATTTCAAATGGTGATCATTAAAAGGTCAGGAAACAACAGATGCTGGAGAGGATGTGGAAAAATAGGAATGCTTTTACACTGTTAGTGGGAGTGTAAATTAGTTCAACCACTGTGGAAGACACTGTGGCAATTCCTCAAAGATGTAGAACCAGAAATACCATTTGACCCAGAAATCTGGTTACTGGGTATATATCCACAGGATTATAAATCATTCTACTATAAAGACACATGCACACATATGTTTTTTGGGGCACTGTTCACAATAGCAAAGACTTGGAACCAACCCAAATGCCCATCAGTGATAGACTGGATAAAGAAAATGTGGCACATATACACCATGGAATACTATGCAGCCATAAAAAGGATGAGTTCATTTCTTTGCAGTGACATGGATGAAGCTGGAAACCATCATTCTCAGCAAACTAAAACAGGAACAGAAAACCAAACAATGCATGTTCTCACTCATAAGTGGGAGTTGAACAATGAGAACACATGGACACAGGGAGGGGAACAACACACACCGGGACCTGTTGGGGGGTTGGGGACTAGGGGAGGGGTAGCATTAGGAGAAATACCTAATGTAGATGATGGGTTGATGGGTGCAGCAAACCACCATGGCACGTGTATACCTATGTAACAAACTTGCACATCCTGCACATGTACCCCAGAACTTAAAGTATAATAAACACACACACACACACACACACACACACACACACACACACACACAAATTAGCTGGGTGTCGTGGTGGATGCCTGTAATCCCAGCTACTTGGGAGGCTGAGGCAGGAGGATTGCTTGAACCTGGGAGGCAGAGGTTGCAGTGAGCTAAGATTGCGCAATTGCACTCCAGCCTGGGCAACGAGAGTGGACTCTGTCTCCCAAAAAAAAAAAGAAAAGAACAACAACAAAAAACAAACAAAAAAGAAACAGCAGAGTCCAGTGTAACTAAAATGGTGTAAAAAAAGTAGTAGATGAGGTTAGAGTTAGAACAAAATATATGGCCTTGTAGGCTATGGAAAAGGCACTCGATTTTACAATAGTCCCCACATATCCATAGGTGTATATGTTCCAAGACCCCCAGTGGATGCCTGAAACCACAGATAGTAATGAACTCAATTGCTGTCAATTGGAGGACATGTCTGTTCATGTCCTCCACCCATAAGTTTAACGCCTTTCCATCTTAACTAAGCGCATATTACACACTTTGGCTGTAACTTGTGTGGTTTGAAGTGTGACACCAAAACTAGCACACATTTCTTTTTCCTTCTTCACGGTTTCACAGATAGAAGACTCAGTGTTACTGTACATCTTAGCAAACTTAGCATACTGTTTTTTTCTCCTTCCTTATTAAGACAAGAGCTTTCACTTTTTCACTTAAAGGTGGCTTCTCTTTGGCATATCTGAATTGCCAGCATCACAACTCTTCTGCTCTGGGGCCATTATACAGTAAAATAAGGTGACTTGAACACAAGTACTGTGGTATCTTGACAGTAGATTTGATAACCGAGATGGGTGACTAATGGGTGAATAGTGCAGTAAGTGAGGATCCGCTAGACAAGGAATGATTCACATCACAGACAGGATGGGGCAGGAAGGGGCTAGATTTCATCACACTACTCAAAATGGTACACATTTAAAACTTCTGAATTTCTTATTTCTGAAATTTTCCATTTAATATTTTCAGACCACAGTTGACTGCAGGTAAGCAAAACCTTGGAAAGCAAAACTGCAGATAAAGAGGGACTACTGTGTTTGAAGTGAGATAAGAAGCCATTCGTTTTTAGCAGAGTCATCACACGATCCAGTTTATGATTTAAAAGGATAATTCTGACTGCTGTGTGAGGGAAAGGGTAGAAGCAGGAAGACCAGTTAAGAGGTTATTGCAAAAGAAGGGAATCATGGCATGGAACAGAGTAGAAACTGTCATGGAAATGGTGTCCAAAAGTTGGCTTTTGAATATATTTCAAAAGAAGAACTGGCAGGATTTGCTAATAAATTGGATGGAAGATGGAAGAGACAAGTCAAGAATGTCTTCAAGTTTTTGGCCTGACAAACCAAAACAATGGAGATGAAATTTACTGAGATGGAAAAGAAAAAGGAGTCCATTTGTTCCCCAAAACAATGGAGATATTTACTGAGATGGAAAAGAAAAAGGAGGGGAAGATTGGGGGGTGAAATTAGGACTTCATTTTGGGACATATTAAGTATGAGATGCCCACTAAACATCCAGGTAGAGATATTGAATATAGTTGAATATGAGTCTGGAAAGCAAAGATGTTGATCTACAGACGGAAGTTTGAGAGTAATCAGTGTATAGATGCAATTTTATGCCATGAGACTAGATGAGATCACTCAGGGAGGGAATGTATGAGGTTGGTGCAAAAGGAATTGTGGCTTTTGCATTGTTGGAATTTGCCGTTTGCTATTGAAATAAATGTGGTTATGTTATACATCATTTTAATGGGCATTTCTTGCTTTTTTTTTTGCTAAGGACTTATGTCTTGCTGTTTATGTTTATTTTAGACTATGGAAATGATGATAGACAAAAGGCAAATGCGAGTGATTTTCTTATTCTAATTCAAAATGGGTCATAAAGGAGTGGAGACAACTTGCAACAACAACAACGCGTTTGGCCCAGGAACTGCTAACAAACATACCGTGCAATGGTGGTTCAAGAAGTTTTACAAAGCAGATGAGAGCCTTGAAGATGAGGAGCATAGTGGCCAGCCATCGGAAGTTGACAATGACCCATTGAGAGCAATCATCGAAGCTGATCCTCTTACATGAGAAGTTGCCGAAGAACTCAACACTGATCATTCCAAATTAAAAGCTCAACACTGACCATTCTAAATTTAAAAAAAAAAAATCGCATCTTCTCTTATTCTACACACCAACAATAAACCATTTCTCAATCAGATTGTGACATGCGACAAAAAGTGGATTTTATATGACAACCGGTGACAACCAGCTCAGTGGCTGGATGGAGAAGAAGCTCTAAAGCACTTCCCAAAGCCAAACTTGCACCAAAAAAGGTCCTGGTGACCATTTGGTGGTCTGCTGCCAGTCTGATCCACTACAGCTTTCTGAATCCCGGCAAAATCATTACATCTGAGAAGTAAGTATGCTCAACAAATTGATGAGATACACCAAAAACTGCAATGCTGGCAGCCGGCATTGGTCAACAGAAAGGGCCCAATTCTCCACAACACCAGACAGCACATTGCACAACCAACGCTTCAAAACTTGAACGAATTGGGCTACAAAGTTTTGCCTCATCCGCCACATTCACCTGACGTCTCACCAACCGACTACCACTTCTTCAAGCATATCAAAGCTTTTTGCAGGGAAAACCTTTTCACAACCAGCAGGATGCAGAAAATGCTTTCGAAAAGTTCATTGAAGCCTTAAGCACGGATTTTTATGCTATAGGAAAAAACAAACTTATTTCTCACTGGCAAAAATACGTTGACTGTAATTGTTCCTATTTTGATTAATAAAGATGTGTTTGATCCTAGTTATAATGATGTAACATTCATGGTCTGAAACTGCAATTACTTCTGCACCAACCCGAAGGCCCCTAATGTTTAGAAGTCAAGAACGTGAGGAGCAATCAGAAAAGGAGAGTGAAAAGTAGTAGTCAGTAAGGACAGAGAGAGAGACAGAGAGAGAGAGAGTTAGTTCTCTGAAAGCTAAGTGAAAAAGCATTTCGAGAAGGTAGGAACATCACTTTTACTGGAAGGTTGATTAGGATGAGCCCCAAGAACTGTTTTTGGATCTAGCAAGATGGAAGCTGGTAGTGAGTTGACAAGAGCTGTTTCCATGGAGTGACAGGAACAAGAATTTAATTAAAACACTTTAAAAGAGATGGGAGAGCTGCCAGCATCCATCTTCCCGCTGCAACCTGAAGGTGTGACACTCAGAAATGCTCCAAGGACTCTTTGTGCTAGAGAAAACATCTAACGTCACAGATAGGCTCTCCAAGGAGGAGCACTGGAAGACTTTCAGCATTCCAGTGATAAAGATCATCAATCACATTGAGAAAGAACAGATTGCTGGTGCTGGCCATGAGGCTTGCTTCAGTGAAAGCCCCATCACAACGATGTGGGGTATGGCCTGGAGACCAAAGGAAGTGCTTCCTAGAGAAGTCAGCAACACAGGGTGGTTCACAAACACACCTGCTAAGTCTGGTGATTCCTATACACACTAAAATCTAAGAAGCACTGCATTGGAGTATTCTGAGTTTTACTGAAGCTCTTTAGGGTACAAAAAACCCAAAGACTCACTAAGCCTAGCTCAGGCAGGACAACGGGGTCTTACGCCTCAGGCAGAGGAGACAAACTTATACAGGAATCCAAGAAGACCCATGAAAAGGTGAAGCCTCATGGAGACAAGAACCAGGGGGTCAGCTTGGATCTGGGAGTCTTCCCCAGACAGCCCTGACCAGGATTCACTACTCTGTGCATTGCTTCTGGTCCTATGACCAGTGGGGTCCCTCACTACTTACTCTTGTCTTTTTGCCAGTTCTTTTTCACCTATAGTTTTAACTAACTTCTAATTTGAGCTCTTTTTGCCTATCATGTGCTCCCTGGTCTGTCTCATAACCTTCCAATTTTGCTCACTACCTTAATTTCAGTTTCATAGAGTAAAAAAGTTATTCACTCAATTCATCCCTGTTTGGGCAGAGCTTTTGAAAGCACCAGCCTCCCTCACAGGCTAATGGGTTAGAATTTCAGAGTCAGCGGGCACTAGGTAATATGGTATAAAACACGTCTGCCCTGGGCTGTCGGATCAGCAGGGGCTGTGGAAGAAAATCACACTGTGATTACATGTCTAGTTAAAGTGGTCTTAAAAGACATGAAACAGGGTTTGAAATCTGGGTTGCAGACTCTTTCCCCTTCACCTACACCACCACCTCCCATCCTCCCTCCTTCCCCCCACTTCCTACGAACACCTGCAGCCTCTGGCAGTTGAGGTGACTTTTCATGTTCAGCATATTTCAAATGTTGTGTAACAAAATTAATTACATTTAATTAAACTTAACAATTTTTTACAGCCCCAAACAAATCTAAAATGCCACGTTAAGCTTATGAGATGGCAGTCCTCCAAAGGGTTCTGCCGCTGGGTGAATCCATCAGAGACTTATGTAATTTTAGGGATCATTTTACATGAGTCTGATGAATGGCCCCTTAGCCTTCATTAAGCATCAAACAAGAAATATTGTCTGGGTCCTAGACCAAGCAACTACCTATGTCCTCCCTCCTTCCTGCATTCCAGCAAGAATTCCCTCACTCAAACAATCTTCCTCTTTCCGTCTGCTCTTTTCAAGGTGCACTCAAATTATGAAATTGCTTCTCTCTTTCCCCCCACTACACAGTAGCAAGGGAGGGAACTGTATCTCTCAGAAGCACAGGGCCTGGTATATGGGAGTTGCTGAATTTATTAACATTTGTCGAATGAATGACTGCTCTTGCTCACTGGTAATGTGTTTCTCCCACCTCGTGTATTAGTCAGGCTTTACTGTAATAAACCCCCAAGTCTCAGTGGATTTCTTGTTCTGCAGGTTTGAGAGGTGGCTGTAAGTCTGCTTCACCTGCCTTCTCACCTTGGGCCCAGACCGAGGAGTGTCTTCTCTCCGGTTCATGCTGATCTGAAGGTATAAGGCAGGACTGATGGAAACATCAATGCAGCTTCAGAGCTCTGCATGTGACAAGCCCACAGTCACTTCTGCTGTGTTCTATGGACTAAAAGCAGGTCACACGACCAAGCCCAATATTGGTGAGCTATTAAGAATGTTTCCCGAGGGAGGGAGGGGGCTGGAGTGAGTATTTGCTGTGCAAAATACAATCCATCATGCATTGTTGCATGAGTTTTCTACCAGTGCTATTCTGATGCTTTAACTAGTTTTCAAAATTGGCAAAGTAAAAGTCCCTCAGACACATATGTTAGGATCCATTCAGTTCCAGGGACAGAAATACAACATAAAATATTTTATGCAAAAAAGAAATGTACTTATTCATGACACAACTGTGAAGTCCACGAAATACATTCAGGTGAAGCCCAGGAGCTCAAACAATGTCATCCGGGGCTTTTTCTTCATCTCGTTACTCTGCTCGCCTCTGTGTTGGTCTTATTCTCCCCACTCTCTCAGAGGCAGCCCGAGGCCTTACGTCTACATCCTCCCTTCATAGTAACTTCCCATGGGTACAGAATTTATTATCACTTCCAGGGAAGGAGTCTAATTGTCCCCACCTGGGTATTACGGCTGCGCCAATCTCTGTCTCTAGGAGTCGGGTTCTGATGGCTGGCAAGATTTTAACCAGGTACCCACCCCTGATGTCAGAGAAAACAGGGTCTATTACCACTAAACATACACACGGTACAAATGACAGGAGCCAAAACAGTAGCTAATTTAGCCCACTTACAAACATATTTGTTACCCAAGTTTTCTATTAGCACTATTCTGATCTTTAGAATTAGTTTTCAAAAATCTGCACACTAAAATCCCCTACAACATATATATTAGTCAGGATGCATTCAGTTCCAGCGACAGAATACAACTCAAACTAGTCTATGAACCAAAGGCCTTGCAATATGTGTATTCAATATTTATATATAGGGAGTAAACTGCCTTAATTCCTTACTTGAGTCAGGAAAACAATCTGAAACCATACAGGGTAAATTCAATGGTAAACCTTCAGTTTACATACTCTTGCAACTTTATGTCTTTTGAAAATATTTAAGGCCAAGAGATCCTGTATCAGAAACTTTTTTTTTTTTTTTTTTGAGACAGGGTCTCACTCTGTCACCCAGGCTGGGGCACAGTGATGCCATGACAGCTCACTGCAGCCTCGATCTCCTGGGCCCAAGCGATCCTCCCACTACAGCCTCCCAAGCAGCTAAGGCCACTGGTATGCACCACCACACCCAGCTAATTTTAAATTATTTGTAGAGACAAGATCTCACAAAGTTGCCCAGGCATGTCTCAAACTCCTGGCCTCAAGCGATCCTCCCGCCTCAGCCTCCCAAAGTGCTGGGATTATAGGCGTGAACCACCATGCCTGCCTGGCCAGAAACTCTAATTTTAAAAATCTACCCAAGTTGTTGTCCACTGAATTCCTTTCCCACCTACTTTCCCCTTTCTTCTTTATATAGCCATTTCATCTAGTTCTCATTTCTATCATTCTATATCCTTCCTATGAGAAGTGGTAGGGGAATGTGCTACAAGAGATCTTTAAAAATTGAGCTGGTTTTATAATGTCTCCTCATTAATTCACTAAGCAACCATAGGACAGTTGCCGTGTTTGGCTCTGGGGATGAAACATGGCCCTTTTGCTCTTTCAAGAAACTTGTCATATAAAAGAGGCAACAGACATATAAACAAATGTCTGTAACATTGTATGATAGGCACTGTAATATAATAGAAGGAACAGCTGGAGAGAAGTGTGCTGAGATCCATGTGCTGTGAAGAGAATTCTGAGCACCAGGGGAAAGCTGGGTAGGAGAAATGTGAGAGCAGAGGGACAGTGGCCAGGCAGATCTTGCAGGGGTCTCAGCAGATCATGATGGGAGAATGAACTCTGACTAAAGGCAGCAGCTGTGAGAATAGGGAAGAAACAACGGATAAGAACGTTGTGGCCGGGCACGGTGGCTCACGCCTGTAATCGCAGCACTTTGGGAGGCTG
Organism: Homo sapiens; assembly: GCF_000001405.40. NCBI lineage: Eukaryota > Metazoa > Chordata > Mammalia > Primates > Hominidae > Homo > Homo sapiens. The sequence continues at coordinate 108,941,915 of NC_000011.10, read as the reverse complement.
AGGCGGGCAGATTACCTGAGGTCAGAAGTTCAAGACCAGCCTGACCAACATGGTGAAACCCCGTCTCTGCTAAAAATACAAAAAATTAGCCGGGCATGGTGTTGGGCGCCTATAATTCCAGCTACTAGGGAGGCTGAGGCAGGCGAATAGCTTGAACCCAGGAGGTGGAGGTTGCAGTGAGCTGAGATCATGCCGTTACACTCCAGCCTGGGCGACAAGAGCAAAAATCCGTCTCAAAAAAAAAAAAAAAAAAAAAGTTACAGAAGAGGCATCAAAAGAACTAGTAAAGAAAAGAGTGGGAAGAGCGAGAAGCTGAGGTGTCACCTGATTTCCTTTTGATGGTGAAATGATGTTGGTGCGGGCTCACGAGGATATCAAATAAAAGAGGAGAAACTTTTCTGAGACAAACATGGACTTAGGCTGAGTTGAAAAGGTTTGAGATACCCAGGTGTAATGCCATCATTCCTCTTCCTTGTATTTATAATTTATTTGCCCCTGTTACTGAAAATGTTTGTGCACGGAGTGGGAAAATAGGAAAGGGACAGAATCATGAGAAGGTGGCAAATCTATAAAATCAGTTTCACGTCAAGACTCATTTCTTTACCATATTCTTTCCCCTTGAAGAATCTGAGTTATTTGTAACAAAAAAGAGGCTCTGTCTTGTTTTGCATCGTACTCATTACCAGGAGCTGAGTCTGGGTGGGGCTCTGTGGTAGGTGCTGACTGGAGCACTTGCAGAGGACCTGCAGCTACCATGTGCACAGTGAGAGGCCATGTTTTAGTCAGTCTTCATATTCAGAACTTCTACCGATTTTATAAACAATTGCTAGCAAACCTGCAAGTGTTAAGTTAAATGATATCCTTGAGAACAGGCTAACTTAAGAATATGACAAATTCACAGTTTGAGGAAATGGCCAAGCACTTTAATCTTAAGAACCTTCCTGTGAGAGGTCTCTTATGTTACTGGACACAATGCAAACATTAATACTTTCTTTTATAGGAAATATGTTTATTATTGATCATCTCAATTCAAAAATACTCATTCTTTCTCAGGGCTGGTCCATCATAGTCTCTTTGAAAATATTAAATACGTCGAAATCATGAGCAATTTTAACAGCAACAGAAACTTCTGTACAGTAAGCAAGACAGGGATTTCTAACAATGACACAAGAGCTCCAGAACTTGCCAGTAAGACAAAGGCAGTGTTTCCAATGACAAGGCGTAGGAACCCATGGATAAAAATCTAACAGAACACATGCTGGAAAACGGGGTCAGGAAATGGTATCATCCACCCTCGATCTGAGTATGCTCAGTGATGGCACAAAGCATGTCCTGTGAGAGGGACTTGGAGATACGATCGCTTCTATCCAGAAATGTGCCCTTTGGGAATGGGGCATATGGTACCTAAGTGCCCCCAAATCAACTGTTTTTCAACTTCTTGCCTACGCAGTCATAACCAAGGTTTCAAGGAGAAGGCAGGCGCAGGAAGTATTTAGCTTTGACTTCTTAGCAGATGTAACACCAGCTCTTCATCCTCTGCTAAAGACAGGCCGGTATCCAAAGGCTCTAAAGTGTCCCACCTGGCCTTCTTTCTGTTATGACTTGTTGGTCCCACGTCTTCCACTTCACTGTTGCTCCTCTTCTTCATCCCCTGCTTCTTCTTGGTATCACTGGTGAGAAGAAATCCAAAGATTTACTTTAGACTCAGTATGAAATCAAACATTTAAAATAGGACAAAATTAACAGAGAGTTGGTAAAGTGATATTATTCAAGAATGAAGGAAACCATGGCAACATCAAGATATCTGTATAATTAGTAAGTACCTTCCCATCAGTAGCTAGGTCCTACCACGCACCAGGCACATGCAAGGTACTTTGTTCACACTGGGTCATCCAATCTTCACAATCATTCTAGGAAGTTACAGCTGTATCATCCACAATTTGAGGACACTGAGATGCACCACAGGTATGTCTCGCTCCAGTGTGTGCTTGTCCTGCCACACCAAACTACCTCTACTGAAAGTCAGGTTATCTTTAGGTAGCAGTGTGCAAGCTAACAGCTATCTGGACACCAGGTACTGCTTCTAATATCTGTTGCATTAAGTTGTGATCTAGAGAACATGCATAAAATAGAACCTGAGATGTTAAATTACAGATTAGTTAAGACATCAAATAAATTTCCTCCATTTAAAAATCTGTATCAAAGATACAGATAGCCTTAAGAAAGCAAACATTATTGCAGTATTAAGTACATACTCAAGACATAGACCATAAAAACAAAGCTAATTTCTGAAAGTTGAGGAAATCACTTGATATGCTAAAAACAGAAGAAAAAGCAAAACATTCTCCTCAAAGCATTTTGAGATATTATCTGTTCCAAGATGACCCAATTATTGGATATATGATTAAAACAAAATAAAAAGTCCATCTATTAGTAGCAGCAACCATGAATCCAGGGCTTCCTCAGAGTGTGGCACTGCGCTAAATACCTTACATAGATTATGTCATTTATATTCATGGCAACCCTCAGTGTGGAGTGCATTAGTCTCATTCTGCAATGAGGTTAAGAGAGGTTAAATGCCTGGACCAAGATTACACCCATGGGATTCAAACTCAGATATGAATGATACTGAATCCAGCCCCAAAGGCAAGCTTTTGAAAGCAATTAGAGTTGACTCAGTCAACATTTAAATGCCAGGAACTGTGGAAAGAGCACTGGTTTGACATCAACACAGTCAGACCTTTAGTTAACACTTCTAACCCTCAGTTGTCTTATTTGTAAAGACAGGGATTATATAATTTACTTAAAATTGTGAGAATTAAATGAACTTAGATAAATGAGAACACACAGTAGTGCTCAATACACGTTAACTTTCTAAAAACTACTCCCTTTTAAATTCTCACATTCACTATATCTAATCAGCAAAATAAATAAATAAAAAAATCACAGAAATATTACATTATACCCCAAGCACATGATGTGTTCTGAAAGAGAACAAACTGCTCAACTTCCAACGGCCTGGATTACTCTTTAAGAAGACAGCCTGGATATCAAAGTGAATGTGCCTCATCAGCATATCCATTTATGACCAGCTTGATGCAAAACTGGAAATAATTCCTCCATTTTCCTCCCAGAAGTGTCCAATGCTCTGACTCAGCCATTCTCTTTCACCACTGGAGGAAAGACAAACTAGATGGCACTATGAGGTTCTTTAAAGCCACAAATCACTGCATTTTAAAAGAGTGCCTGGAGAGATGAACATGAAAGAGTTCCCTGTGATACAAATTCAGTCAGCAAAGAATTAAAATAATTCTTAGTGAAAGAGGGTCTTAAAAAAAAGTATTGAGCCCTAATCTTTTTATGAGTATGGCCAGTCCTGTGACAGTCCCACAGGGTTATAGTGCCAGGATCTATTTGGTTCAAGGGAATACTGGTATTTGCTCTGCCTATACATCAAGTGCATCTCAGGTCAGCTCATCAGAAATGGCCTAATTAGTGGGCTGTCTATTGCATCCTCTGTTAATGTGCTCCTGCACATTACATGCCCTGCAGGAAATAGGTGGTTTGGATAATAAAAGGTAGAAAATTTATGTAGTCCAAGTATTTTCACAATAGGCAGCTTTGCTGCTCTGTGGATCACTTCAAATTCTAGAAAGGCCCTTTATACTACTTTCTATAGCAAATAAGCAGCAATCTGTATAACAAGTTAATTATTAAACAACAGTATAGGCATTCTACAGACAAATTACCAAAAGGGGGATAATGTAACAAAATAATGAAATATGCAATAATGAAATAATGAAAATGCAATAGAGGTCGAAAAAGGAGTGAAATTAGTGTTCTCCACTAAGCCGAGGGAGGTAAGGAGGTCCCTGAGATGACTGACAATGAGGGGGTTCCTTCAAAATTGGGGCGAGTCCAAGCCTGAGCTCTGCATTTTATCTTCGTGTCAGCACTTCTGTGGGACTTAGATTTTTGCCACATTCTTTAAATGTTCGAGGCAAGGGTCAAAAGCAAACATATCACTGCTCAGCATTAAGACAGTGCAACGTAATGGATAAAGCACATCTTAAAAAGCAAAAGCATGGCTTAACTCAGCACACCAAAAGGCCTACTACTACTATAAAAATCAGAAGTAGGGCTAAAGAATTCAGAGGTAACAGTCTTTCAATAAACCAAATAATAAAGACTTTATTAGTAATGTCTGGTGTGCCATTTAAAGGACATATCATACAACAGAGAAAAAATCATCAAGTAATATGTAATCGGAACAGATGATGACAGGGAAATTCTATTTTGATGATTTTGAAATTTTTGTGAAAATGGATACACAAAAGCTTGTCTTGATAACCAAAGTAACCATCTGAGCCAAACAACTCACTCATTGCTAATAATTAAGAAAACAAGATACAACATTGGAATGTGAATTCAATTTTAAAATTTTTATTTGTAATTGAGTTTTAAATGGAATATAACTTTCTGAATTTCTAAATTTTCTGAAACCCCAAACATCAAAATAATCCGAGAAATTGAACCGATTTTTTAATAGGGTTGATTTCCTGGTTTCACCATTTTAATTTTTTCAGATACTTGTAGTTACACCATCACCCCAGAATAACAGTGTTAATTTCACGAGAAACAAAAGAGCCAGAGGAAAACCTGAAGTTAGAACGTTCAGGTCAGCCTTCCTCCCAGTCCCTCACTCCTCAAGCACGGCCCTCACTCGCGAGATCGGCAGACACTTGGGCATTTCCACGGTGTTTGCTGTAAATGTGGCACCTCCCTCTTCTGGGTCTTCCCCTTGTCCTTCAAGACCCATCTCCAATTCCTTATCTCCCGTGAAAGGTACAAATCTGCCTATTAAAAGTGAGCTCTTCTGAATTGGAAAAGCGCCAATTATCTATCAGTCATTTTGCACCTAAGATTGCTATTTCCTGATACTAAATTGATTTTCTTTTCCAACTGTATGCATCTTAACTCCCAATTAGAATGTAAACTCGTGAGTGGAAAAGTGAATGGGCACAATCTTTCTTGAGGGCATTTTGGCAGTACCCTTCAAAAATCTTTAAAATATATATTCCTGGCAATTTTTCTTCTGGGACGTTATCTGAAGGAAATAGAGATTTAGACAAAGATTTAGGCACAAGGATATTCAAGGGATAGCTACTTTTAATTTCAGAAAGTTAGAAATCCCAAAGTCCAACCATAAAGGATTAAATAGGTTATAAAATTAGAAATGAGATACTATGCAGCTATTAAAAATGATGTTTCAGGAATTGCTTTTGACACTGACAATATTATAAAACCAACACAAAAAGAGAGAGTCCATTTGTATTTTAAAAAGTCTATATGTAAGTTTGCATAGAAAAAGGTTTGGAAGATTTTTTTTAATTTTCTTTTTGCTGTTATATATGTCTTCTCATTTTTCTGTAATGAGCCTGTATTACTCTTTGCAATAAAGAAAAAAATTAAATTTGAAGTTCTGGGTAGCTAGGTATACGTCAATTACTCTTTTTAATTCCACAAGGCTCAGAAGCATACAGAGTAGGTACGCCCTACTACTGCTATAAAAATAAGAAGTAGAGCTAAAGAATTCAGAGATAACAGTCTTTCAATAATCCAAATAATAAAGACTTTATTAGTAATGTCTGGTGTGCCACTGAAAGGACGTATCATACAACAGAGAAAAAATCAGCATGTAATATGTAATCTGAACACATGATGACAGAGTAGGTATGCTACATAATCTCTGTTCCTGTGATAACCTGATCTCCAACTTAGGGTCCCTGTGTCTACAGATGTATGGGAAAAGGTGAGACTGCTTAGGTCAAGATATATGAATCATGGGTTATTTTCAATATTTTTTTAAAAATCTGCAATTGTGTGGCAAAGACTAAGTTGTGGGATTTCTTTGCTTTTGGCTAGAATTATATTAACTGAGCTTTGTAAACGTTCAATACTTCATATACTTGGATGAACTGAAAATTACATCTTCGTTAATGAAACAAATGTGAAATATTAACTTTCTTGAGAGACAAAAATCTTTTAAAACATGGGACCATTATCATTGAAAACAAAACAGATGATGACAGGGAAATTCTATTTTGATGATTTTGAAATTTTTGTGAAAATGGATACACAAAAGCTTGTCTTGTGATGATGAAAAGGTTGGAAGTCATCATTCCAGGATAGAAAATGGTGCTCCATGGATCATATGGAGAAACCTGTGAGAATTCTTGATAATTTTACTTTTCAGTCTTATATATCAGCCTTCTTAGGAAGCCATTCAATAATGGTTTCCATGCCCACCTCCCCTCAAATAAAAAAAAATTAAGAACCAGTCATCTTAAATAAAAGTTCTTGTTGAAATATCATTTATAAAACCTTCATGTATAACATTTCTCTTTTGAGCCCATTGTAAGCATGCTTAGAGAAGTAGTCTCTGTCAAGCACCACTTGGTCTTGCCTTTTTCATAAAAATTTCAGTGGTTCTCTAGAAAGATTATTAGTATAATCTTTAAAGAGTCTCATGATCTGGTATAAGCCTGCCTCTGTAACCTGTTCTGCATTAGCCCCCCTTAATATACCCCTTGCTCTTTGAGGCTCCTTTCTATTCCCTGAATATGCCCTAGCTTCTCAGTTTCTTTTATCTCCATCTGGAATTCCCTTTTCTGTTTTCTAACTATCTAAACCTCCCTTATCCTTCAAAAGCCAGTTCAAATGATACCTCTTCCTCAAGGATTCCACCTTGAGGTGGAAGATTTCTTCTTCTGCCTACCAAATGGTTAGCTTTTTGAGGTCTGGGGCTCCTAGTCTTCATTTCTGAAGATGACTTAAAGAATTCATTCAATAAAGGTCCATTCATCTGAATAGTAAAAATAATGACGGTTAGGGTTGTTCAAAGCCCCAAGAATTACCATCACTGCAACAAAAAAGGCAACATTTCAATGGATTTTGCTGCGAATTCGACTTCCAGCGGAGTTAACAGAGGAGAGTGTCACGTGTGGGAGCACCCCCAGAACACTCAATCCAGTCTGTGGGTGCACAGGCTCCTGTCTGCTGACTAATCCTCCGTTTTTAATATCACAAGTTCCAGTGTTCTAAATTTTGGCTTTGCATGTTTTTAAAAATTATATAAGTGGCCAAATTATGGCTAAACCCAGTAACTTGTTTTTTCAAACACAACTTCTGCTGAGTTAACGCCCTGTCAATGGACAGTTTAAATTTTACCATGACTGCAACTTCCATGTGAGATGTAATCAGCAATCATCTAAATTTAAAATACTTAAAGGTTGACTACAACCTCCCTGATTGTACCTTCCCAGTTTCCTCTTCCTCTATCCATTACATAAATGTTCATTTCCCCAGGTTCCATCCTTGGGCCTCAACTATCCTCATCTTACATATTCATTCTGGGTATTCTCATGCAGTTCAGTGTTTCCACAATCTTCCACAATGCTAATGACTTAAAAATATGCATTTTAGCCTAGGGTTTTTTCCAGACCACCAGATCAGCATATTCAACCAGCTCCTGGATGTTTCTACCTGCATCTCAAAGTAAACATGCTTCTATTACATGTTTTCCCCAAATCTGCTCTTCCTGTATTTATTTCCCTTCTAAGTGAAAAGGACTATTCCCCCACTGAAAACCTGGAAGTCATCCTTGAGCTACCTTCTCTTTTATAACCTTAATTGAATTGATCATCTCTCAAATCCACCTATGTTTTCTAGGGCTTCTACAACCATCCTCACTCCTTGCCCTCCTTCACCTGATCCAGCTCCGGGAAGCCTTCCCTGACCCACCCTCATCTGAGTCAAGTGCCCTCTTAGGGTTACCCTCACATTGTGCACACTTCCATCGCACCATCTCTATCACACCATCTGAAATGCCTTATGGCAACTGTCTATGTGCTTATCTTCGATTAGATTACAAGTTCCCTAAGGACAAAAACTGTCTTGTTCTGTGCAGCCACACTGCCTTGGTACCCAAGGGCTTAATACATGTTTCTTGAAGACATGAATAAACCCACTGGGCTGAGCTTCTGTACTGTTTAGTATCTGACTGGCCTACTGTATGTCATACAGGGTCAGAAAGAATGCTCCCTAACTAAAACCACATTCTTATCTTCTTTGCAGCATAGATGATTCATTTTAAGCCAGTATGTAAGTAGACATTTAAATCTGCATTGTATTTTTTCTCTAAACACTGTATCATTAATTCCAAAGAAATTGAAGAGATCAAAGCCACAGTGAAAATTAAAACACTAATGGCGGAAGGGAAATTATATTGTAAAAAAGAAGTACCCAATAACTTCAGGCTCTGAGAAATGAGACAATACTTTTAAGATTATAAAAAGATCAAAACTCGGCATGTCACTTCAATAAAAATGAGTAATTTTGATGTTCTTTGCAATAATATCTAACTATTATCCTTTTAAAAATGTGTGATCACATCAAAACCTTAACCCTCAATGAAGTACTGACAAAGATACTCTCTTTTGACCAAACTCGAGTCTGGCTATTCTAAGTCCTCTTTCTGACTGGGCTTTGTCTTTAGTCCAGGTCTGCCCACTTAGTCCAGTTTTAGCAAGAATCCTGCTAAGTCAGCTGAACAAAAATCTCTCACCCTTAATATCTGGTCAAATTTCCCATCCCGCAGGCTTGCCTTCAGTAATAATCCTGTGGAATCTGTTTAGCCAGAATCCTCCACAACCCTGATGTTCCTTCTTAATAACTTTCCATTAATGACCCCTCCCTGTAAATCTCTGTAACTCTCACTTGTCCGAGTTGTACTCTCAGTTGAGCTCAATCTCTTGCCCCTACTAAAAAACCCCATTGCAGTGGCCCCTACCCCTTGAATAACGTTTGACTTACCCTTCTTTAGTAAGTGTCATGAATTTTTTTCTTTAACAGCATGTAGCACAGCCAACAAATGACTATGACTTCAAGACAAAGGTATCAGGTTCCATAAGACATGCAGTAACAGTAGGATCTCCCCTCATTATCCTGGACTTTAGACTCAGGGTGGTTTGCCACCAGCAGATACAATATTTCAACAAAGAGTATAATAAGCGAATACAGCACTTGCCAAAAATATTAAAAGTAAAAATTGAAATTACTTTCATTTTTGTCACAAACTACCTAATGTTGATGGAAAACAAGACCAAAAAGCAAATTCTCAACTCATAACTTTTGTTTTCTTTTAAGGAGAAAGACCTTTAGAAAAAACAAGAAACATTGGTATCCAGGAAAGAAACAAAGTGGATGAAGATTATATGAAGCCACTAGCTACTCTAAATGAAGTACATCCCTGACTCTTGAGAACTACACACTGGGTTCTTAGAGAATGTGGAAACCATCTTGTTCATTTGGCCATCTCTGATTCAATGGAGAATGGAAGAGGATCCTCAAAGACTGGAGACTGGCAAAAAGTGGTTCCCATTTTATTATTATTTCTTTTTAGAGATGGGGGTCTTGCTATGTTGCCCAAACTGGCCTTGAACTGGGCTGACACAATCCTCCTGCCTCAACCTCCCTGGGACTAAAGGTGCACACCACCATGTTCGGCCTGGTTCCCATTTTCAAAGAGAAGGAGAAGGTAAATTTTGCAAAGTATATAAAGCTTTCAACCAAGACTTTAAAGTGAACTACAAACTTTAAATAGGAAAGCCTGGTCAGCGAACTATACCTGTTGGCCAAATTTCACACAGTGCCTGTTTTATACATCAAGTTTTAATGATGATTCAGCCTCACCCCCTTGTTTATGTATTGTCTACGGTTGCTTTACCACTGCCCTGGCAGAGATGAGTATCCCTCAAAGTGTAAAATGATTACTATCTAGCCCTTTAGAGGAAAAAGGGTAGATCCCTTTTTTATATTTTATACCTTGCTGACATATAAAACAAGCACTGTGCGAAATAAACAAAACCAAAAACCAGACCCCTGATTCTAGTAGCTTTTGTTGGCTCACTAAAAACAATTCATATCAGACCAACCTTACTGCTTTTAGAGGGTTATTTGACTGGTAAAGCAGGAAAATGAATGCTTTTAGGCTTCCACAAGGCATAGAACACACAATAACCTTGTGGATAACATTGAGACACAGGATCTGAAGACAAAATTAGGAGAAAGCGTAACTAGGTGATTAAGAAGAATCTTTAGTTTCCTAAAAGGTTTATTATTAAAGGTATTTTATAACATCTAGTTCATGGTGCCTGGATCTTATTGTAACTTCGTCTCTATCAAGTTTAACTCAGTATATTTGGAAGATACTGTGACCATGGAACCTTTTATCCCCTTAACTTTACAGGTAACTTCTCTGAAATGTACACATGGCATAATGTAAAAAATATCTACTTTTCTCCCTTCCCTGTTTAATGTTGAAATGACTGCTTTTAAAAATAGTTACTTAACAGTGATTCAAGCACTGTTATTAAATATGTCATTTCCAAAATTCTGGTATAGAGGAAAAGAAAATGGCTTTGGAGTCAGTCTGACCCGATTTAAACCCTGGCAGTTGCCTAAAACTTGGGAAAACTGCTGAACGTCACAGGGTGCCAATTTTTATGTTTGTAAATGTGACTAATATCTACCTCATGGAGAGATTAAATAAGTGATATATGCATGGTAAATGCATTATAAATGTTAACTATAGCTTCTCCAACTCCCCATGGTGGGCATGATCTTACTTTTCTGTTGATGTTAACTGGATTATATTGGTCTTTACCATGTAAGGTGAAAGTCTTTTAACTTGAGATGTCCCCCGACCCCCTGAGATACGGTCTTGCTCAGCCCAGGCTGGAGTACAGGGTGCTATCATGGCTCATGAGAGAACTCCTGGGGAGCTGGGACACTCAGGAAGGGATACTGAATGGGGTAGGGGTCTGGGACAAATGTTGTTGGAGGGAAGAGAGGTTCTGGGTCCCTGTTAGGTTAAGGTCCTCAGCAAGCAACAATAGTCTTTGACGTTTTTATTAAAATTAAGTATATTATTATTAGCCTTATCTCAGGTAAGAACCTTCACTTTGAGAGGCTGAGAAGACAGTTCCTCAAAGGGCAGCCCTGTTCATAAGGAAGGGCTATGCTGAGCTAGAATTTCATGTTTGGCAGAATAGTACTTAATCCAGCATATAACCAAAATCTGAAAAGACAAAGCATATTATTATCACAGTCTACTGTATTTTAAACGTTAAAAACAGCTTTCTTTAAACTACAGAAATTATTATGAAATGGTTAAATTTCAAAATACTGACAATACAAGATGCTGGTGGGGCTGTGGAGCAAAAAGAACTCTCGTTTATTGCTGGTAAGAATGCAAAATGCTACAGCCACTTCGGAAGAGAGTTTAGCAGTTTCTTATAAAACTAAATATACTCCCTACCATGTGATCTAGCTGTCATGCCCTTTGATATTTACCCAAAGGAGCTGAAAACTTATTACCACACAAAATCCTGCTCATGAATATTTATAGCAGCTTTATTCATAATTGCCAAAACTTGGAAGCAGCCAAGATGTCTTTCAATAGATGAACAAACTGTGATACATCCATACAATGGAATATTATTCAGTGATAAAAAGAAATGAGCTATCAAGCCACAAAAAGATATAGCGGAACCTTAAAAATATATTGCTAAGTGAAAGAAGCCAATCTGAAAAGGCTGCATATATGATTCCACCCATATGGCATTCCAGAAAAGGCAAAACTGTGAATACAATAAAAAGACCAGTGGTTGCAAGGGATTCGGAAAGAGAAGGATAGATAGGTGGAGCACAAGGGATTTTGAGGGCAATGAGCTATTCTGTGTGATACTATAATGATGGACACATGACATTATACATTTGTCAAAACCCATAAGATATACAATGCCGAAAGTGAACTCTAATTTGAACTACAGACATTAGTTAATAATAATGTATCAATATTAGTTCATCAATTGTAACAAATTTACCACACTAATGCAAGATGTTACTAATAGGGGAAATTGGAGAGGTAGTGAAGAGAAATATGAAAACTATATTTTTCACTCCATGTTTACTGTAAAAACTAAAATTCCTAGGCAGAAAGTCAATAAAAAGATGTATAGTTTAAAAGAGTTAGTATACCCCCAATACATTATAACTTAATTAAATTGAGCATAAAAACACATTAGATTTTTCTTTTTTTATCCCCAAAGAACTACATGCCCCTTAATACATCACCTGACTTACCTTTCCCATCCTCATTTAGAGTACTCAGACCATCTCAATTCCACTTTTCTGTTCTTATGAGAATTTCAATGCTGGCTCACTCCTTTCTAATGAGTTGCCACTGTATGGACTAGACTAGCAACTGTTTCCTATACTCATCACCTTCTATGAAGTCAGTATCACAATCAGGATAGACACATGGGTAGAATGATGATGAGGTGAAAAGCAGCCAAGGAATCTCCTAACAGGAATACACAGAATTGTACAGTCATGATGATGCTATTAGGGTAAATATTTAAATAATAATTGTCTACGCAAACCATGCTTAGAACACTAGGATGAATCATTCCTTCCTCCCAGAGGTGGCTTGCAATAATTCTTCAGGTCTTGCCTCAGAGAGGGTTCTTCTTAACCATCTTGGCTAAAGTGAACTCTCCCAATTCCTCTCTCATCAGTTATTGTTTTCAAGGCCCTGTCACCACCTCTTGTCTGCTTTTTGTTTACTTCCTTATGGTCTGTCTCTCTTGCTGGAGCGTACGCTCTATGAGGGGCTGGGGTCCAGTATCTCTTCTTTATTGCTCTCTGCCAGTCACATGGTAAACTAGCAGTTTATCAAATGCCTAAATTATGTGACTGTCAAAGGAAAACAGACAGGTAAGGGCATTCCTACACTCCAATTTGGTAACGTGGACTCTCCATCCATATTTTGAATAGGCTATGTTACATGACATTACTGTCACTACATCATTAATTTCAACCAGGCTGTAAGATATTTTTGCAAACTGTTTTGAATATAGGGCCTAGTGCTACCTGGGGACTTAATGAATGACTTCAATGAGGAAAACAAGGAAAAGTAGCTATCCTAGAGGACATTAAGTTTTATTCCTATCAATGTATATACTCATTTACAAACTCCTACCAGTTTTGCTTTTAGTAATTAAAATAATTACTGCACATTAATGACCCTATTCAATGTCATATTTCACTTTCTTTTTACCCTCGTTAGATCTTCACAGTAACTTTGCAAGGTAAAAATTATCTTCCTTTGACTGATGAAGAAAGCTGGGTCACAGAGATTAAGTAACTTGTCAAAGGTCCATAACTTGTAAAAGAAAGATTCAAACTCAGGTCTGTCAAATCCCCAAACCCACAGTTTTCCCCACAAAGCCAAGTAGCCTGCCTTTGTTCTAACAGTCTTAATTTCACAAAACTACTTTCCCTGTTGCAAAGTTGATAATAATACAGCGTGTAGATCAATATTCCAAAACTACAAGCAGTGGTGCATGTGGGCAAGGCATTCAGTCTCTCGGTTCACAGAACCTCATGTAATTCATATCTCACACCTGCTAGAGCAACTATTTTTGTAAAACAGATGCTTCTGAGAACACCCTGCCAGGATCAGGCATAGTTTAAATTTCTATGTATTGATAGAGAAAGGCATAAGGAGAGAGACTGATTCACTGATATATTATTCCATGTAGCGAGAACTCCTAGGGCTTATTCCACTTGAATTTTTAATTCCCTTTCTGGCTTTTAGGACACTTTAGCCAATAAACTTACAAGTGTGGGAAAGAGTGGGGCAAATAACATATTATCACAGAAGAGGAAGGTAATCATTGGTACCTGCCATGAATAGGAAGACCTCTCACTGGTAAACAGCATACTTTAAATGATGTGTGAATTAAATCCAAACAAAACAAGTCAGAATGTCCTTTGTAACCTAGAAACCACACTTCCTGGGCTGCGAGGACACAATAATCAGAACCACTAAACCAAACTTCAAGATGTTCCAGCTGGGCACGGTGGCTCACGCCTATAATCCCTGCACTTTGGGAGGCCAAGGCAGGCAGTTGCCTGAGGTCAAGAGTTCAATACCGGCCTGGCTAACATGGTGAAACCCCTTCTCTACTAAAAATACAAAAAAATTAGCCAGGCATGGTGGCGCACGCCTGTAGTCCCAGCTACTCGGGAGGCTGAGGCAGGAGAATTGCTTCAACCTGGGAGACAGAGGTTGCAGTGAGCTGAGATCACGCCACTGCACTCCAGCCTGGGCAACAGAGGGAGACTCCATCAGAAAAAGAAAAAAAAAAAAAAGTTCCAAGTGCTGTCTGATATGGCTGTGGCCCAAGGCAACATAGAAGAAAAACATCTTCTGGGAAAATCTGTTAACTTCTCTCCTGCTGGATGCAGTGCCTTATAGAAACACAATCTAGTGGAGTGAGCACTAAACTTCCAAGGATGCTGGGGCAGACAGTTCCAATAATTAAGTTATAAAACGGCAACTGAAATTATGGGGGATTCTGTAAGCCTGACTCTGAACAAGAGACTGTGCGGCCAGAAAGTGGCATATGCCTCATTTCAGAGCTCATAACTTCTGTGGCAGCTGCATTTCTTCATGTACAATTAGGGGTGTGCAAGTTTGTATGTGTTAAATTACAAAATAGGGGATTGACATCACTGTACAGCCTATTCAGAAATTTCACAAAAGCAAGGACAAGGGGCTGCTGGAAGAAAGCACACTCCCTTTATTAGACTGTCTGAGCAGCTTTTCAATCTCTTGCTTTTTCTTCTTTCCTTTGGAATGCTAAGTTAAGAAATCAGGTGAACCAAAGACTGATAAAGCTGCAAGGAAGCTAAGGGTGGGTGTCTGGAGGTGGAGAACAGTGAATATGCCCTTAAACAGAAACCCTGAGGTGTCCTTTTACAACATGCTGCTAAACTGGCTGTGGAAAGCTACTGTGAGAGACAAGAATTTAGCGCCTGAGAGCCCAGTTTTGGGCACCTATTTGTATAAAACTCTCCTTCTTGCATTCATATCATAAATGTAGCTTGGATTTTTTCCTAAATAATTTAAACCTAATACATGAGCTTGTGATCATCTGAAACATTCTCAGAAACCTTTATACCCATCCTAAAGTACTGGCACTTTGGTATTCAAATATGTTGTGCCAGAGACTTTTCCCCTTACCATAAATTTTAATTTACGAGGCCATGCAACAGTCCTAATGAAGATTAATTACTGCAGTACATTCCATAAAATGTGCTCAGCTTTCTCCTGTCAGCAAAGGCTACCACATGTAGAATCGGTAGTGAAAATGTATCATGTCCTTAATGTCTCTTTTCTAGCTGCTCAGTATTAAAAACAAATTTGTAAAAACAATTTCATCTAAGAAAAGATTGATGGGCTCAGAGTTCATTATAAACATAACTGCAAAAGGAGAGGAAAAAACTGGTCCTCTTGGATCAGAATTCTAATAATCAGAAAAGGCTGGTGGTGGTGAGGAAGAACTAGAAGGCAGAAGACTGCACATCATACCACTACTTCACATATGTGTTTCCATCTGTAAAATATCTACAACGCCATTTGGGGCTGGCAAAAAGTTTTTGGCCCCACTCTATTTTTCTCGTCATAAATCATCCAGTTAACTGCATGGGAGTGTCTGTGCTACATGCACACCCATGCCATCATTTTTCACGAAATCTCAAGATTTCCCTAAAGCTCATCCATAGAGCCCAGGTTAAGAATCCCTGCTCCACAGCAGTTTAGAAGGTATAATTATGTCTCTTCTCCCAGATTTAAAAAAAAAAAATTAAACATCATACAAGTTGAGTTTATGCTATGCCTTTTTCTCACAGCTAATCTGCATGTAGAACATTTTGTGCTCCTCAGAAACACATCCCATCCACTTCTCTCTCAATCTACTTTCCCTGATTAGTTTTCAATATCTAAGATCACCACCTACCCAAGCATGTCCCTAATGTTCCAGCTATCTGACAAAATGGAGTTTTACAGTTTAGTCTCACTCTTCATTAGTCCTTCAAATGACTTCAAAGGAAAGAAAACCCAGTCTTCAACAAAGCTGCCCACCAAAACATCACTTATAATTACAACATAAAATCACACAGGAACCCAAAACCTAAGCATGGGTACGATCTTTAAAAAATTTACTAACAATTTTTAAAAATTACTTACAATAGCGAAAATTAAAACCCATTAAAATTACTTGTAATAACAAAATAAAATCAAACAAGAACCAAAAACCTAAGCATGGGTACAATCTAAAAATTTTAAAAGGGAGGTAGACAAGGAACTTATGGTGTAACCAAGTGATAGAAAGTTTGCAGTCATTAGGCATGAGTGCATTCTATGTGAATGCAATGTGAAATGACAAAAAGAAACATCCTAAGAAGTCACTCACAAAGGTCTTTTCAGTGAAAACAAAGTTGCAGTGCACCAGAGTTAGGGCAGCTGCCAGAGAACCCTACTAGCAAGGGTGGTTCATCTTAGCCTCATAGCATCCTGAGCTATTCACCCTTCTTAGAGATCCTGGCGCTTCTGAAAAATGACAGGCTCACAACTGTCCTAAGTTATATATAATGGTTGACTAAATGATAGAGTAGAAAGCACAGGGCAAAAACAGTAACAGTAAGAGAGTAGCTTCTTAAACTCCCAATTTCTCAAACTGTGTCTTCCCCATCTCAACCCAGTCCTCACCCCAGAAAATAACATCCTCCTTCCCCAATGTGTAGCAACCTTTCTCTAAAAGTCCTAAGACAAATATTGCCTTTCCCAAACCCCACCCCAACAATCTGCCTCAGGAGTTTCTCCAAATATTGTTCTTATTTTCAAATGTTTGACAAATAAGAAACGACTGAGATTTTCTCTTGAAAGTTGCTTGGCATATGGGAAGGGGGCATATACTCCTGAAGCTGAAAAGAGTAAGAGGAAAGAATGGCAGGCACACAATAAATTCACTATATAATTAAGCTGAGCCAACCTCTTTCTACATTTTCTACACACAATGAGATTCATAATGAAGGAGAGGTTCAAGTAATTGGAAACTGCAGTGAATAGTAGTTTTTTTAAACAATCACCTAGACTAAGAAAAAGCTCTTTTAGCTCCATCCAAAAACAAGAAAGAAATGAAAATGGCTTCTGAGAACATTGTTTTCCAAGTGAAAAGCCTCCCACAAATTATGAAGCTGACTGTAAAATCTTAGAATAGGTACTGAGCAAAACTTATTTAAGAGATGTCACAGAACTCAATACTAGGAGAAACTACAGTGGTTAAAGCAGTTCATCTACCTCACATAAGAGATCATTTTTAAAGACAGGCAAGTTCACTCAAAAGATAGAAAAATGAATATGGAACAGATTTTTAGAAACAAAACAAAAACCCAAATAAAAGAACAAACATGCAGACCAAAAACCTTGATTAGTCTTTTGATTCAGAGATGTGTAAAAATAGGTTAAAAGAACACCTAATTATATTTAGATGTGGAATAGTTTACTCTGTACTGGAAAAGGTATCAATCCATAAAGAAGTTATCAGGTCTAAATGAGGACAATAGCCTCAGTACAAACTATAGATGTAATTGGTCTTATGCTACCTAGAATAATCTACGAAATACCCTGCACCATGTAAGAATTCTTTAGGAAGCTACCTGCCTCAGAGAATGTAGTCTACAAAGCAAAGATTGATGTAAGGTAGTAAGAGTTGAATCATCACCTTTTCTTTTTCCTTTTTTTGTTTGAAAAAGGTTAAGATTATATATATTAAAAATTTAATTTGACTGGATAATGAACATCTGGAACATCCGGCTGTTTCTTTTTCATTGTATTTAATACTTTGCAAATTTTCACATCATTAGCAATTCACACGAAGATGGCCAAAAACCAAACATGATAAATGCTACTAGATATACAAAAATTAATCTTATATGCTCAGAATCAAGTCTCTCAGCTTGTGAAGCACAGCTATAAGAAACAATTTTATTGAAAGAAGAGTTTAAACGGAATACGGTTAAAGACACTCATCTCACTTTAGAAGCCACGCTTTTTAGAAGTGCAATTTACCCTCCCCTCTGCTCAGTTAATACTTACACCTAAGACCGATTTAGTGTAGACACCACTGCCTGCAGGAAGCTCTTTCTGACCCACCAGGCCTAGATTGGACCCATCACTTATGTGGTCTCCATGTTCATTCCCTACCTACTCCACTCACCATCGCCTCCCCAAGTGCACAAACCACAGCACTAATCCATCACACTGTTGTGTTATTGCTTATTTAGCTACCTGTAACCTCCATGGAACAAAAAGCTTTGTGAAAGCAGGAAAGATATGTTTCCTGTTTAATGTTTTATCTTCTGGATCCATGCCTGGCCCATGACAGGCACTAAAACATTTTTAGTTGAAAGAATGGATGGAAGAAATGTTATAATCCAGAGACTAACAGATCAAGTGGGTATTCTTAACTCTTAAGTAAAATATGATTTAAATAATGCAGAAGATTCTTACTCTATTCCTTGGCACTCCACATAGAAGCTTTTAAAAATATTTTTATTTTGAACATGGTGTAACTTTATTGTATGGACTATTTGAAATGAAAAATCATTCATTAGCCCAAAGGCAATTACAGTATCTGAGGTCTTGGTTCCTCAAAAGGTACAAAACTCTTTCAAAACTTACTTGAGATAAGAACACAGGACTCTGTGCAGTTCCCAGCAGACCAATAAATTCAATGAATGTCACAAAGCCCACTGAAACAGAGAGCTGGGTTTCCTACTAAGCTGTTGTGTCTCCAATGATAACAACAACAACAACAAATCCTAACATCTATTAATTCTACCTATTCCACATATTCAAAGGAAGAATGAGAGGTGAAAGCCAGAGTAAAACACAGCCTATACCAATATATAAGATGGATAAAGAAGAGTAAAAAAGCCAGAGAACATCAAGCTCTCCCTTCTACACCTGTCATCAAAAATAGCACATGAAAGCCTAGATCCTTAAATGGAGTTTGGACATCTGGCCCCAACTACTTCTGTACTGCGGGTAGATTAGCTGGTCCCCTGTTTCACAGCTCTGTTTTTGAGGATAAATAAACTATTCATGGGGGTATTCTTAAAGCTCATTAAAAGAAACCCAAAGTCACATAATTTTCTTTGTCCCTGAAACCATATTATAAGCAAGTTCTCTTTTAGTCATGCTAACTAAACTGGGTTGAATCCACATCAGAACCCTTTTGAAATCTCAGTGCTGGAGATAACAATTCTGATAATTTTAGAGGGTCGAAGGTAGTTTAAATTCTATTGCAGCTATGCACTGAACTGAGAAAGAAGGCAGAAGTAAAAACTCTTTAAAACCCTGTCAGCCCTCCCTGAGGGGGAACTATTGACCCCAGATTCTGTCATTCTCCACTAAATCTGGCTCTCCATTGCCTAGTTCCAACTGACAGTGTCTTTTCCATGTGGAGAAACAAAAGTGTTACTCATGCTGAATATTTATATGTGTCAATGAAGTAAAGGAAAAAGAAACACCCAGAGGAAATTTTCAAAGAAACTCGCTCATGCTAGTTTAGGTTGGAACTAATAGCTTCTTTCTTTCTCCTTCTCTTCCCCTCCCTCCCTTCCTCCCTCGTGCTTTCTTTGCTTTCTTCGCTTTCTTCTCTCTCTCTCTCTCTCTTTTTTTTTTTTTTTTTTTTTTGAGATGGAGTCTCCCTCTGTTGCCCAGGCTGGAGTGCAGTGGCACAATCTCGGCTCACTGCAACCTCTGCCTCCCAGGTTCAAGCAATTCTCCTGCCTCAGCCTCCCAAGTAGCTGGGACTACAGGCGCCCGCCACCACGCCCGGCTAATTTTTGTATTTTTAATAGAGACAGGGTTTCACCAGCTTGGCCAGTATGGTCTCAATCTCTTGACCTTGTGATCCGCCCACCTCGGCCTCCCAAAGTGCTGGGATTACAGGCGTGAGCCACTGTGCTCGGCTCTCTCTCTCTGGGAGTCTTGCTCTGTCGCACAGGCTGGAGTGCAGTGGCACGATCTCGGCTCACTGCAAGCTCCGCCTCCCAGGTTCACACCATTCTCCTGCCTCAGCCTCCCCAGCAGCTGGGACTACAGGCGCCCACCACTATGCCCAGCTAATTTTTTGTATTTTTAGTACAGACGGGGTTTCACTGTGTTAGCCAGATGGTCTCGATCTCGTGACCTCGTGATCCACTCATCTCGGCCTCCTGAAGTGCTAGGATTACAGGTGTGAGCCACCACGCCCGGCCAGGACTAATAGCTACTTTCCAATTGGTCTATCTAGTCCCATAAGAGTGAATTCGTCTCTGAAAATGCTAAGTGTATAGCCAGAGAATAACCTACTGAGAGATGTGATGATGTCCAAGAGGCTGGAGTACTAGCCATTGCCTCAATTACTGAGTAGAGGGCTAGAGACAGCACAGCAAGTAAAACCTGTGAACATGTCAAGAGGACTCACTAAAGCTGACATCATAAGATCTTAGCACGTAATCATACAGCTTATGAGAAGCATAAGCAGATGGAAGCTGTATGCTTCCAGTGTGTAGCCAAACTGGAAGAATACAGAAAAACTTTACTGGCGCTACTATGCAAATGCTAGCAGCAACAGCAATTACCACTGTCAAAATTCTAGTATATACAATCTTCCAAATACATTTTCTTTATCTAAAACAATTTTGGTTTTAGTTTACATACATCTTGATTCATTGCCATTGAGGCAAATAAACCACAGAAAAGGGAGAAAAATGGAAATTAAAGTATAAATAGAAATTACAGATGTAGGCTACTACTTATAATTTACTCCAAATCCTGCCTGCTAGTCCAGGAATGGCAAATAGGTTTTACCTTCCGTACCAGTTCCAATTGATTGACAGAGACTGTGCTGAGGACTGCTTAGGCCAAATGGAAGTGAATAGAGAAAAAACCTACTCTGACTGAAGGACAGGGGAAATTAAGCACCAGTAATATGTATCTGCCATCTGGGGTCTAATCCAGTTGTTCTCAACTGTGGGCAATTTTGCTTCCTCAGAGATACCTGCCATGTCTGAAGACATTTTTAGTTGTCCCAAATGCTAGTGGTAGAGGCCAAGGATGATGTTAAGCAGCTTATACCCTTTCTCAAACAAAAAACTATCTGGGCCGGAATATCAATAATGCTGAGGGTGGGAAACCATGTCTATCTTATG
This sequence comes from Homo sapiens, assembly GCF_000001405.40. NCBI lineage: Eukaryota > Metazoa > Chordata > Mammalia > Primates > Hominidae > Homo > Homo sapiens. Next base: position 108,920,741 of record NC_000011.10, on the reverse strand, counting down.
GTTAGTCCATGGATCCAGGTGTTTAGTCAAATGACATTATCCTGAGCTACCTCTCTCAACACCAGGGTAATTCTATACAACCTAACTGAGATTCTAGAACTAGGGAGTTAGTTTAATTTACAAAGATCACACTGATCTGTCCCTAACTTTTATTGTGATCACAGACAAGTTATTTTAGCCTTTAAAGCCTTGGTTTTTTCATCTAGAAGGAGGCTATAAGATTAGACAATCTCTGTGTTCACAGGCCAAAACAAAAAACCTGCTAGGAAGCCCTTATATACGCTACAGGAATAAAATCCCTCATCAGTGATCAAGCCCTTGTTGATATCCTCCTCTTCAACAAAAGACAATTTCTGTCAGCTTAAAACAAGTTGACCAATCCCAGTCTCCACTAATGCTGACTTGTTAGCTGTGCATGAAATTAAAACTGTTTTAATTTTCATATAATGCTTAAATACTTTCCATCTGAACCCTTGTCTTTAAGTTAAGATGCTTTGTCATCTCTCACAGTACTCCTACCTTCTTGTTCATCACCATTACACTGTATGAACTTGGCTTCTTCCAACTCTCCATCTATATTCTGTCATCTCTTGTATCATTTAACCTATTAATATTAGGACCAATGATATAGTCTCTTATAATTACATTTCTTTTTTAACCCTGTAAATCTCCTTCATCAATCAATTAATCAATTCAAATATGTCAAGGCATTCTCTGTGCCATGACATTAATATTAGGGGTGGGAATTGAGGCTAGAGCAGTTAAGTGTTGGTACCAAAAAAAAAATGTAAGGACAATTTCTAGGTACAAAACATTTACAGCCAATTAACAGGATGAAACACATGAGCTACTAGAGAACAAGTTCTATTAACTAGGTGGTAGCATGGAAATGTCACTATAAGGGCAAGAAATGGCAGAAGAATTAAATGAAATGCCTGCTGTACACAGATGAAAGATGACCCAGAAACTATCTAAAATGTTAGGGAAAAAATCCATATAAATCAAATGCAGAAGGACTGCTGACATCCTGCCAAAGGTTTCAAAGGTTGACTATTTTTTAAAGGTATATTAGATAGATATGCAAAATATGGCTGCAGAAATGCAAGAACCAATTAATGTTGCTTCCAGGGAGTCAAGTTACATGGAAACACTTGGAAGACAATGACTGAAAGTCATGTATGTTACATTAAATCACATCTACCAAAATACAGACCCCATAAACCATTCTAAAAGAGGTGCATTTATATAGGAACACAAGGGGAAGCAAACCTGACCCCACTGGGGTTCATCTAGGTCTCAGACCATACACCAAGGAACTCAGAGCATGTATATTTACTCTTAGAGGTCAATTTTTAAAGATTAGGAATATGCCCAGAACCTAAATTATTTAATCCTTATGGCACAAACATTTGTATATTTTTCTAAATCCTAATCAAATTATTTTTATCTGTGGTGCCTCTTGTGGTAGTAAAACAATGATGTCCACTACCTAGAGCCTACACATACTATATAAAGCTCATATGTTCAACCACCTAGTTGTCCAACAGCAAATGGAAGTTTCTGGCATCACCTCAGAAAACTGAATTTGGATAAGTGAATTTTCCTATTAAAAAATAATTCATGTTTAAATATGCATAAGATTCAAATGAAGAGTAACTCTGTCTCTCTACAGCATTTTGTCCTAAGAAAATCTTTAAGACCTTTTCATAATGTTCTTGTTTAAAACAAATTATAGCTCTCTATGGCCTACTTCTCCAACTGCAAACACCCTGTGCTAGCACTTCAAGGGTTCCATCAGGCTTCCTCTTCCCTTCAATCATACTAACTCTATCTGTTATTAGTACCTCCCTTCTGTAAAGAAGCTCACTGGTTTAGATTGAGCATGAAGTTTAACATTCTCAACTTTGAAATCAATAAACTCTTAATGTAATCTAATACATAGTACTCTGAAAACAAATGGTGAGCAAGTCATATTATTATTCATCACGTTTCATTTGTTTCTGCCAATGGTAGCAAATAAATAATAGCAAATAGACTTTAAAGTGAAGGAATTTGTCAAGAGTTGTTTCTGTACAAGTGTTCCATTATTTTATTTATTAAAAAAAAATTTGTTTTTGTAGATTTGGGGTCTCACTTTGTTGATCAGGCTGGTCTCAAACTCCTGGCTTCAAGCAATCCTCCCATATCAGCCTCCCAAAGTGTTGGGATTACAGGCATGAGCCACAGCGCCCAGCCCCACCAGTATTTTGTTATTTAATTCCATATAAAAGAATGTGGAAGAATAATGTCCACGTTTTAAAATTCAAGGACAATTTTTAGCAGTATCTTTAATAGAGTTCTCTGACAATGAAAAAAAATAAAACCCTAACTCTGTTTGCAGAGAACAGATTTTAGTGCATCAAATACTTAGGCATAAAGGACTCAGAGAAAGATAAGAAAAAAAAAAAAAGAATAGAGAAAGGAAAAACACAACTCATATATCATACTCATATCTATTAATAGGGATTATAGAAATAATCAAAAAGGCCCTAACATGACCAGAACAATCTGCAGCAAAATGAGTAAAAAAACAGCAGCAGGATTTCCAGGAATCTAAGTAAAGGTATCAAAAAAAAGCAACAAACATCTCTTGGAGTAGAACTCTTAGTAATGTCTTTTGGATTCATTAAAAGACTGATGTGAGAGTACTAAGTATGTATTTCATACCCATAGTAAAAACATACCTTATTTTATTTTCCATATCTTCACTATCTGAATCTTCAGAGCTTCTGTATTTATCTGGATCTGGGAGTGTGCTTGGATCAAATCCATCATCATCATCATCATCATCATCACTCCAATCCAGAAAGGCTTCCTCTTCATCTTTGGCCTAAAAAATAATAATAAGGGAAACTGCAGTTGAAGAAGTCAGTTGATAAATAATCAGGTTTTATTTGCAGACCCCAATGGATATCCCTCTAATTGACATCCACAGATTAGCTTTCTCTTCTGGTGTAGGCCCTTATGTGACTTTCAGAACCACAACCATTGGCAAAGAAATGAAAATCCTTATCATTTCAAAAATAAAAGAAGATTCAGAAAGCAAATCACTATTCAGTCCTTTAAACACAATACAGGAGAAAATTGTCTATTTTATTATTTCTGTGTAACTCAACTCAATTATCAAAGAAATAAAAGCCAGGTGCTGTGGCATGCTCCTGTCATCCCAGCTACTCAGGAGGATGAGGCAAGGGAATTGCTTGAGCCCAGGAGTTTGAGGCAGCAGTACACAATGATCACGCCTGTGAATAGCCATTGCACACCAGCCTGGGCAACATCTCTAAAATAAAATAAAAATAAACATAAAGAAATAGCATACAAAATTGTTTTAGTGATCCTGTCCACACATGTAAGTTTCAAAACTACCAAAAATACTAGGTGAAAATATAAAAGATCAGAAGCCAGAGTACAGTAACATTTGTCTGATTTTATGACCACAAAAGTGTAAGTCTTAAAAAACTATCAGATCTATTAGCTGGGCATGGTGGCATGTGTCTGTAGTCCTAGCTACTCCAGGGGCTGAGGCAGGAAGATCTCGTGTGCCAGACAGCTGAGGCTAGAGTGAGCCATGATTGCACCACTGCATGCCAGCTTGGGTGATGGAGTGAGATCCCATCTCTTAAAAACGAAACAACAACAATAATCAGATCTGTACAAGCTTATTTGTAGTGATGGGTCTTCTAAATTCAAATGCAAGTGCAGAGTCACTAAGAAGAATGGGAGAAGGGGAGGAACACCAAGAAATGGGAAAAGCAATAATGCATGGGAGGGAATGTATGGAAGTTGAGATCTGTTCAGTTTCATGCAAGCAGGTAGGTAAGTGGGCTTCTTTTGTTTTTAATTTTTGGTGGTTATTTTTGTCAAAAAACAAACTAATGCAAAATTAAACTTATTATACATTTATGTTATGAACATCACACGACAAATTTATTTCTGGTAGATTGGTTTTGTCAACTACCAGATAAACCGAAACAAGCAGTGGCACATGCATTTAACAGAAAATTATAAGTGGGACTAAAAAAATTTCAGTTTCTTTCAGTTACCATCTTTACAATTCTTCATACCAAATGATATAAACTTCAATGATTCTTTGATTCTTTTGATTTCAAATGATTAATGCTCGTTCCCAGAAATTGAATAACAGTTCAGAATAGCATAGTAATGACTGTGCTAGCACTATTATGCTATTCACTATTAAAGTACTCTAACATTCTTTGATAACCTCTAAACATAAGAATTAGTCACCACTGCAAAAGTCCCTTATTATTTTCCTGGTGAGAGTCCTTGGTAAAAAATAAAAGGTCTGGAAAGAAATTGAGTTGGGGGGAGGGGGGATTAGAAGCATTAAGCAGCACACTTGACAGCTTATTTTATTGTTTACTTGAAAATAATCAAAGACACCAACAAAAATTGGATGTCACCATAAACTCAAGAATTCTAATTTCCTGAGCTACAAGATATTTCTAATTTTCCCGTCTGATGCCCTTAAAGGAATGTACTATCTGAAGGTGGAGGCAGAGCAGACTCAAAACAGTTCTAAACTTTTTGGTCTCAGGACACCTTTACACCTAAAAAGAATGGAGGATGCCAAAGAGCTTTTGTTAACATGGGGAAGATCTACTGACATTTACTGTATTAGAAATTAAAAATTTAAAAAATATATTTATTCATTTAATATACTGTATTAAATAAAAATATATTTTATGAAAAATAGCTGTAATTTCCTAAAGAACTTTTTTTTTTTTTTTTTTTTACATTTTTGCAAGTCTCTTTAATGTCTGGGTTAAGTGAAGACAGCTGCATTCTCAAATCCGCTCTGCATTCATTCTGTTGCAATATTGTTGTGGTTGAAAAATGTAAAGACAATCTGGCCTCTCACAGATAGGTATTTGGGAAAGGGAAGAGTAATAGAACCTTTTCAGAAAACTGCAGTTATTCTTTGTTCATTCCATAACAAACGTTGATGTGTAATAGCTTCTTAAAAACTAGTTGTCATATGAAAACTGAAACCATATCAATGAACTTTTTGAAATTTGTTACATTAAAATCCATTGGTCTACCTTGCACTTTGAATGGATCTTTAGTGAATGATTTTGTAACATCATACATTGGTTACTTGGAAAATAATTGTTCACTGAATTACATAGATTATGCAGATCTCTAAATGTTGACACATTGCATTATATAATTTTTTTAAAGTCACATTTGTTATCCACCATCGATGTCTTTAAAACAAACAAACAAAAAAAAAAAAACCAAAAAAAAAAAAACAAGCCTTTTTAGTATTGGGAAGCTGTTGGTGGTTACAAATTTTCCAAAGTCAAATATTGAGAAATATTGGTGAATACAAGTTTTCCAAAATTCTTGTTTTCCTAAAAGCTCAAATTTTAGCATCAGCAACAAATACTTTCAGTTGTTTTCCTTGAAGGGTAAGCAAGTATCATTTTCCTCTGGCTGATTTCACAATTTTTTGTTTATCATAACAGTTGACCATGATATGTCTAGGAATGGTTTTGTGTTTGTATTTCTTGGGACTCTGCAAGCTTCTTGGATCTGATAATGTTTTTCACTAAATTTGGGGAGTTTCCAGCCATTATTCCTTCAAATATGTTTATGTCTCTTTTTCATCTCTCCTTTCAGGACTCCAAGCACATGTATACTGGACTACTTCACAGGTCTCATAGGTTCTGTTCCTTTTTCTTCATTTTTTTTTTCTATTCCTCATACAGGACAATTTCTACTGGGTGTTCAGGTTTGCTGTTCCTTTCTTCTGACAATGCCAAACTGCTTTTGAGCTCACCTGGCAATTTTTTAAATTTCAGTAACTGTACTTTTCAGCTCTAGGATTTCCAGTTTTTTTTTTTTTTAATGGTTACCATTTCCCTGCTCAGAACATTTTTCCATTCACTGATACCATATTTTCCTTTAATTCTTTGAATATAATTAAAATAGCTGCTTTGAAGTCTTTGCTAAATTCAAATCTGAGCTAAGTCAGCTTCTACTGATTGCCTTTTTTGGGGTATAGATCACACTCTTCTGTTTAATTCCATGTCTAATATTTTTGTAGAAAACTGGAGATTGTAGATAACATATTACCGAAACACTAGATTCTATCATGTTTCCTGAGGACTCCTGAATTTGTATTCTAACAGGCAGGTACTTTGCCTAGATTAAAACTGCAGACTCTAATCCATAGTAAGGAGCTGCTTATATCTGTTTTGATCCTGTGGCTTCTAGTTTCCTATGGGTCTCCCCTGAGCCTGTACAATGTGGTACTTAGCCAAGAATTCAGGCAGAGGTAGGCTTACCCTCTCTGTGGCTGCCTCTGGCGATTCCTCTAATTTCCAGCTGCTCTGCTGGCTTTGAGATCTGCACTCTGACACTTTGAGCAGAATACATTATTCAAGTGTATTAATATATAATGCCACAATTTACTATGCCCCTTTAGCATTATAAAGTGACCCTCACAAAATACCTACAATTTAATAAGAGAATAATTTGAAAGTTAAACTTAATATAAATACCTTAACTCAGTATTCCAATATAAATGTTTATTTACATTGGTATATAAAGAAAATACGAATTCAAAGTAATAAAAATTTACTTTCAAATGGATAAAATGCTATTTGGATTTGTTTTAATGTGACTCTTGTAATTGACAACATCCAGGCCTTGCTATTTCCTGACCTACAAAATGACTGCAATGTTGGTGCTATACCATATTGTCTGTGCGGCATTACAGTCAATTCATGACAATGACCAATAAAATGTGGAATACCTGTATTATGGAAAGTATAATGTGACTAATACCTTTAATTTATTAATAAAACCACTATCATTTACAACACAAGTCACTAAGTTAAAAATAGTATCACCATAATGAAAACATTCTGAAGTACTATGTCTTTTTAGCAAAGCCTAGAAGTATGTACTTTCTAGCCACATACGGTAAGAAAATGGACATTCTTAGCTGCTCTGTCTCTATCTTTGATTTCATGAATGATTTAAGAGATAATTTACCAAAATGGGACCATAAAAGGAAAATAGGGACGGCAAAGTCACTAAGCCAAAGGGAAGTCAAGCTAGGGACTGTGTCAGGCAAACCTGTCTCCCATTTTATTCCTAAATAAGATAGCTACAAAAGCTACATACCTCCCTCGCAATTTGCCCACAAGGATATTCCTTGTGGACAAAGGACAGACAGAACTCAAAGTCATCCCTCTGCTCATGTGAGACAAATGCTTATCTGATTGCTTCCTCTGCCCTATTGTTTCACTAAGCCAGACTAAGGCAGGAATGATGATTCCTCTACCTCCGCCTCACATGTGAATTGTCTATTTAGTAAGAGGCTAATCAGAGACTCAAAAGAATGCAACTGTTTATCTCTTAACTACCTATGACCTGGAAGTCCCCTCCCTGCTTCGAGTTGTCCTGCCTTTCTGGACTGAATCAATGTACATCTTACAGATACTGATTGATGTCTCACGTCCCCCTAAAATGTATAAAACCAAGCTGTGCCCCGACCACCTTGGGCGCATGTCCTCAGGACCTCCTGAGGCTGTGTCATGGGTGTGTCCTTTAACCTTGGCAAAATAAACTTTCTAAATTGGTTGAGATTTGTCTCAGATGTTTTGGGCTGACAGAACCATCCTCGTTTTTACCTCCTTTTGACTTATTTTCATGAGTCAAATATTCTCTGAAATATCTATCACCTCACAACTGTCCAAAAAGGCAGGACAACTTGAAGCAGGGAGGGGGCTTCCAGGTCATAGGTAGATAAGAGACAAACAATTGCATTCTTTTGAGTCTCTGATTAGCCTCTTACTAAATACACAATTGACATGTGAGGTGGAGGTAGAGGAATAGTCACTCATGCCTTAGTCTGGCTTAGTGAAGCAATAGGGCAGAGGAAACACTCAGATAAGCATTTTTCTCACATGAGCAGAGGGATGACTTTGAGTTCTTGTCTGTCCTTTCTCCACAGGAATATCCTTGTGGGCAAATTGTGAGGAGGGTATGTAGCTTTTTTATCTTTGTAGCTATCTAATTTAGGAATCAAATGGAAGACAAGTTTGCCTGACACCGTTCCCAGTTATGTCAGTGTGTTAGGACACCATGGCTGGAAACTCACTGCTGTAAGTAAGGGAAAACTGTTTAAGCATTTTAGCAGGAAACTAAATTAGTACCTTAGAAATGCAGCAATAGAAAGGGTGGTTGGAAGGTATAACATTTGAAGGAAGGATATCAGTTTTAAAACTATAATAATTAATGAAGGAAGTGGCAGTGGAGATGAAGGTGGAGGATCGGTATGAGAAATATTAAGGAAGGAGAATCAACTAGACTCTATGGATTACAGGGGTATTATAATGCACAATGTTTGTACCCCTCTTCTTTCATATGTCCATACCCTAATCCCAATGTGATGGTCATCAGGGTGGAGCCCTCATGAATGGAATTAGCACCCTTAAAAGAAGAACTAGAGAACTAGCTAAGTCCCCTTCCACCACGTGAGAAGCCATCTACAAATCAGTAAACAGGCCCTCAGGAGATACTAAATTTACTGGCACCTTGATATTGAACTTTCCAGGCTCCAGAACTCTGAGAAATGTGTGTTATTTAAATTACTAGTCTATGGAATTTTGTTACCGCAGCCCAAAGTGACTGAGACAGGTACATAATATATTTAAGAGAATATACACAGAAGCTTAGTCGTACACATCAGACCTCTCTTAAATATAGAAACCAAGAAGACAGCAGTTTAATTAACACTGAGAGGATGCCTTACAAAAACATGCTACGGTCTGAATGTTTGTGTCCCCCACAAAATTCATGTGTTGAAACCTAACCCCCAAAGTGATAGTATTAAGAGGCAAAGCTTTTTTGGAGGCCAGGGCAGATGGACTGCTTGAGCTCAGAAGTTCGAGATCAGTCTGCACAACATGGTGAAACCTCATCTCTACAAAAAAATTAGCCAGGCATGGTGACACGCTCCTATAGTTTGCAGCTACTTGGGAGGCTGAGGTGGGAGAATGGCTTGAGCCCAAGAGGCAGAGGCTGCAGTGAGCCAAGATCATGCCACTGCACGCCAGTGGGTGATAGAGCTAGGTCCTGTCTCAAAAAAAAAAAAAAAAAAAAAAAAAAAAAAAGAAGAGGAGGCAAAGCTTTTGGGAACTGGTTAGGTCCTAACAGTAGAGCCTATCTGAATGAGATTAGTGCCCTTACAAGAGGTCTGAGGAAACTTGCTCAGCCCCTCCATCACGTGAAGAACACAGCAAGAAGGTACCATCTATGAAGCAGAGAACAAGTCCTTACCAGACCCTGTATCTGCTGGCACCTTGATCTTTGACTTCCCACCTTCTAGAACTGCAAGCAGTTAACTTCTGTTGTTTATAAATTACCCCCAATCTAAGGTATTTTGTTATAACAGCACAAATGGATTAAGACAAAGATGTCTTCATTCAACAAATCTTTATTTAGCACCTATTATGTATAGCAGACACACTTTTAGGTTCTGGACATGCTGCAGTGAACAAAATCATGTCCCTGCCCTGATAACAAAATGAGCTGTTCTAGAACCGTTACCCACATAAGCATTAAAATGAAAGCCAGGTTCTGCTATTTCTGGGGAGCAGTCAATCAAGAGCGAATCAATTCCACAAGCCCTGCTAAATGTCTAACATTTGATAGAGATAGAAAGCAGTTTTCACCTTATGGATCCCCTAACATGTGGCCGACTGATTATGCATTCTGGCTGTCAACATGCTTCTTTCTCTTCATATTTCCAAGTTGCAAGTTACCACCACTACCCCCTCACTGACTAGTTCTCTCATCTTTCTCCACCCTTCCAGCCTGCTCAAAACAAGAACCCCCTATCATCCTCATACAGACACACACAGACACAGACACACACAGACACACACACACACACACACACACACACACACACACACACACACACACACACACACACACACGCATGCACGCTCCTCTCTTAAAGCCCTGGGCAGAAAGGGGGAGTATTTTACCCACATGAAGAGATCAGTGTCACCTCTATAACTGGCAGTTCCTGAAATACAGTTTAAGAACCTCTGAGGAAATTACTTCACCTAAAACAGGAATGACTTTTCTTAAAACAGTTAGTTGGAAAACTCATTTACAAGTAGGTCAGGTGAAAATATCCCAAAACAGAAATGTTACCTGACTGGTTATTTTTGTTTTGGTTTTGATAATGGCAAGAAACACAAATAAGATGTGGCATTCTCCTACAACAAACGTACAAAGTGCTTTAACATAGATTATCTTACTTGATCTTCAAAGCCTATGAAGTAGGTCAAAAAGATTTATTGTTCCCATTTTTGAAATTACAAAACTGTGATTCTGATGACTAAATTACTTACCAAGGTCATACAAACCTGGACATACACAAGGGGTTTTCTCCTACATCACCCTGAATCTCAAATCTCATCATTAAAACTTTGGATGTGCCTATACAGTGTTTTTGTTTTTTCCAGTATCAAGTGTATTTTATAAGCTTTGTAAAACATGCAGGTGTTTCCTATGATACCTTACATGTGGTAATCTCCACTTTCCTTATCCTTGGCCCCCAAGCCTTTTTTTTTTTTTTGCCTAGAATATTGCGCCAGCTGCCTAATACGTCTTCCTGCAAGTATTCTTTCCCCAATTCTGATCACTCCAATTCTGTGTTGTAATTAGAATTCTGAAATAGATTTCAAATCTCACATGTGATAATGTAAGACACCTGTTTACAACACGTTCTTTCAGATACCGGCACTAGTCAAGCCTCTTTCCACCTCAAGTCTTCGTGCATGCTATTTCTCTCCTGGAACACCCTCTGCTGCTTCTTGCCTGTTGTGGTGCCTTCTAACATCAAATGCATGGTGTCTCTTCACACCAATCCAACAGGTACCAACAGGTGCCCAACAATACAACTCATTTCTGACAATAACCATGCAGAGTGTCTTAACACAGATCCCACAGGTCAAGGGCTCAGTCCCACAAGACTGCCCACACTTCGGACACCAGTGGCCAGTAGACTACAAATTCACGGGTTCCCACAGGCCCCTCTCAGGTTCCATAATTCTCTACAACTTTTCATAGAACTCAGGAAAGGGTTTTACTTAATGATTGCCCATTTATTATGGAGGCCTAAACTCAGAAACAGCCAGAGGAAGAGGCACAGGACAAGGGAAGGGGCGGGAGTAGGGCACAGGACAAGGGAAGGGGCGGGAGTGGGGCACAGGACAAGGGAAGGGGCGGGAGTGGGGCACAGGACAAGGGAAGGGGCGGGAGTGGGGCACAGGACAAGGGAAGGGGCGGGAGTGGGGCACAGGACAAGGGAAGGGGCGGGAGTGGGGCACAGAACTTCCATGCCCTTCCTGGGTGGGCCACCGTCCCAGCATATGAATGTGTCTGCCCATGCAGAAGCTCTCTGAACTCACTTTTCAAGGGCTTTTATAATTCAATCTCCAGCCACCCTTCCCTTCCAGGGAGGTGGGGGGAATAGGGCTAAAAGCTCCACCCTCTAATCAACTGTTTGGTCTTTCTGGTAACCAGCCTCTACCCTGAAGCTATCTAGAGATGCCACCCTAAGCCACCTCATTAGTATAAATGCCAAGTGCTGAAAGGTGACTTCTTAAGTAAAACCAGAGACACTCCTGTCACTCAGGAAATCCCAGGGGTTTAAGGGTGTTCTGTCCAGGAACCAGGGACAAAGACCAAACATGTTTCTTTATACTATACCTGATAACACAAGTCATCAAGTATTTCTAAGCATCGTTTCTTCAGTAAAACTTGTAAAAAGCATCTGTTTCACAGGACGACTGTGCAGGTGAAATGAAACAACATAGGTAAAGCACTTAGAGTACCTGGCACACAGTAACACCCTAAAATATGCTACATAATAACACACTTTTCATTTCCATTCCCCCAGAACTCAGCAAAGTACATGGTAATGTCTGTTGTCTGACACCAAATATAAATGGGACACAAGAGTAAAAACATATTTAATGTATTAGAGACCCACTGCCTGATTTTTAAAACAAATTTCCTAATTTGTTGCCCTAGTCATGCTAGGCTGTCAGTGATTATCAGTGAGAAAATATATTAGAAGCCTAAATACAGAGAATTATCTTTATTACGTTCCTACATGCCATACAGCATTCATAAAAACAAAATAACCTTTAAGAACTGAATTGAAATTTTAGTTATTTAATTCCATTTAGGACTTAAAGTCTTCCCATATTGTATGAATTAAAAGCAAAATGTCAACTTTGAAATTTCATGAAGAGGAAAAATTCCAAAATTTATTATAAACTATTTTTGATTCCGACAAGGAATGTAAAGATTAAAAAGAAAATTTTACAGAAAAGTGAGGTAATCAAAACACATTTTGTTTCCACTAAACTTCAAAACAACTTTCCAAGAATGCATTAATTCTTCATAGTTTTTAAATTTAAAATAAAAATTGATTGCTATGGATAGCTGACCATCCTCAGTAGTTAAAGATAGACTGATTTTGAGATTTCCCCAAGCTATAAATCCTAGGCACTAAATTATTTAGAGAAGAAATTAAAATTTTTTCTGAATTATGAACACAAAAAAGGTTAGTGATGTTATTAAATGCATTACTGAAAGTGAGTATGTATTTACTAAGGCAGATGTGCAGAACAGGAAACACAAGAGCAACTGACAGTGCTGAGAAATTATGGTTCCCACACCATGATGTTAAATTTTAACAGCCTGGCCCCATCACTTTTTAATAATAATGTTGTAATATTAACAAAAATATTTTGCAATATTTTTAGTTTATCTGCCTCCTAGAAATTTATTCTATAATGGTGATTTGGGTTATAGCGTTAATACTGATTTATATACTTGATCCTTTGGCATATGGCCAAATGTGTATGTATTTGGTGCATCTCTAATATATACTGGCTGAAGTGTACTTGAAAACCCCAACTTTGATCCCCTACAATTATGGGGATCTTGCCCAGAAACATCTCTGCCCTTCCTAACACCCAGCATTAATATATACAATTGACACAGCAAATGAGAGGAAGGCAACACATTTCAGCTCTGGCCACCTAACCATGTAGAAATTTGAGGGGATGAGAGGCAATGGGAATTTGAGACCAGCCTGGCCAACATGGTGAAACCCCATCTCTACTAAAAATACAAAAATTAGCTGGGCATGGTAGTGGGCACCTGTAATCCCAGCTATTTGGGAGGCTGAGGCAGGAGAATCACTTGATCCTGAGAGGTGGAGGTTGCAGTGAGCTGAGATCACGCCACTGTACTCCAACCTGGGGGACACAGCAAGACATCGTCTCAAAAAAGGAAAAAAAAAAAAAGAGGCAATGGAGGATGCTGGGGAAGGATAAAAGCCATATCAAGGAACAAACAGGTAAATTCAGACAAACGCCACCTCAGTACAGAATTGGTCCTGTCAATAAAGTAGCACTTACACAATTTCCTCTCAATACCTTATTTTTTTCCTCATCATTCCAAAACAATGGGGATATTTGACTGAAGGACTATGAGGAAGTGATATAAATAATGCATGCAGTGAATAAAGTTAAGAATGGCAGGCAAAGGGCTGGCATATGAATATGCAAAAGCCCTAAAGAGCATATTCCAAAACCGGAAGGATCTTCGGAACTTGGAATATTCATTTAACAACTGTTTACTGCACACTTCCTGGGTGCTGAGCATTGGTATAAAAGAAGAATGTAATCTGAGACACAGTATGCCAGTTAAGGACTCTGATTCAGCATTTTAACCTTAAGACTTTTAGCAAAATGAGATTTCTTCTAAGGCTGCTTTGCACAAAATTCATTCTTCTTCCTAAATTGCTTACTCACTTGCTTTCTTAATATATGAATATTTCACAGAGCCCAACAGGATACTGATGATGCTACAATTTCATAACGCCCTATTAAATAATGGTGCATCTTATTGATCATCTTTATTTCTTGTCTTTTCTGAGAAATATTACACTAAATAAGATATTAAGTAAAAGAAAAATTCCAAGTCCAGTTCACTATTTTTCTTACAATAATAAACACTCTAATAGGAGATGAGTCACAAGACACTAATTTGACTTCTGATCCACTAATGGCTAGTTGTGTGTCCTTAGGCCATGAACTCAGGAAGCTTCTGTTTCCTCATCAGTGTAATCTGAACACTGACATCTACCATTCAAGGCTGTTATGAGCACTGGAAGAGCAATGCATGTGATGGTGCCTGTACTAACATTTATCATCAACCCATGTGTGCACACTGGGAAAAGACATTCCAGCAGTTTGGCAGTCATATCCTCAAGGACCCCTCCTGCTTTCTCTAAATTCTAACATAAGCAGAAATGTGAAATATTTACATCATCTAAGGAAGCAGTGTATCATACTAGAAAAATATAAAATATTATACACAAAATAACATAATTGAAACTAAATAAATGATTAAGGCTCAAAGGAGTATCAATGTTAGAATGCACCACAGTTTTTGAGGAAGGTAAATAAAAGTACTACATGGTAAACCAGGTATTAATAGTAAATAGTTTGATGACTAAAATATTACTCAATAAAAAAAGGATTAATATATACAAAAACATGGATGATATGATTTGGATCTGTGTCCCCACTCAAACCTCATGTTGAATTGTAATCCCCAATGCTGGAGGTGGAGCCTGTGGGAGGTAATCGGATATCACAGGGTAGATTTCTCATGAATGGTTTAGTACCATCCCCTTGGTACTGTCTTTGCGATATCTGGTGGTTTAGAAGTATGTGTCACTTCACCCCACTTCTCTTACTTCTGCTCCATGCCTTCTGCCATGACTGGAAGCTTCTTGAGGCCTCCCCAGAAGCAGATGCCACTATGCTTCCTGTATAGCCTGCAGAACCATGAGCCAATTACCAAGTCTCAGGTATTTTTTTATAGTAATGCAACAACAGCCTAATACAGTGGATGAATCTCAAATGCACCTTGCTAAACCCAAAAAAGCCAGACCCCAAAGGCTACATATGAGATGACTTCATTGATAAGAAATTCCAGAAAAGGCACACATCGCTACAAAAAATAGATCAGGAGGAGGCAGCAAGAGGGCATTTTTGAGGTGATGAAACTACACTGCATCTTTGATTACGATGGATACATCACTATGCATTTGTCAAAACCCATAGAAGTGAACCACAAACAGTGAATTGTACTGTATGTAAATTGAAAAAAAAGGACTCCCCCATATAATATTTTAATGACATTTAAAAGTGTTCACAGTGAGTTAGTAGAATATAAAGACGTACTATAAAAAACATATATAGAGGAAACTTCAGGTGGTGGGACTGGATCACAGGATTTCAACCCCCCCCCCCCTTAAACAATCTAATAGTACCTTATAATAAATAATATCTTTGAAATTAAAGAGATGAAATTTTTTTAAAACTCTAAAAGATCTTTGTATGGAATCTATTATAACAGGTTCAGGAGAGCTTTAGATTAGGAGTTCTTAACCTGGGGTTCCTGGAAGCCACAAAACCCCTGAAACAATATGAAAAATATAAAGTAAATATACATAACACATTTTGTGGGGAGAGCAGAGCCATAACTTTCAAAGAGTCCACGGGCAGCCCGCAACTCCCAGTTACTACTGCTCGGGGCTGAACTGATAATAAGAACATAGGTCTCAAATTAGACTATCCTGAGCTTTAAGGTCATTCATCCCTGAAAGCCTTGAACATGTTTTAGGTTTCAGCTGCCTGGTGACATATGCAAGTCTTAGGCTGCTCAGAAGCAGAAAAACAGAATAAAAGCACAAATGCAACATTTTTTAAGGGTAAGAGTAACATTTCAATAATTCATAAAATAGCCATGGAGTTAGTAGGCTCATATATCTCTCTGGCACATGGCTACATTTTCAATCTTTGGCCAAAACTGTCATATCTCAGGGGAAAAAAAAAAAACCCTGACGGAACTAGTTGAGATCTATCTTCAGAGAAATAAACAGAGGAGATGGGTTTTCAGTCATGTGCATGTTTGATTTACTACATTCTTCATGGTTTGTTCCATCAATTTATCATCACTTCTCCAAGTAGGAACCCAGTCCATTTCTCTCAGTGAGCTATTGAAAAACTACTCTTTGCAGGTACTAAAACTGGCTCATCTTTGGTGAAAAATAAACAGCAATTTAAAATCAGAAATGAATTGAATGAATTCAGGTTTTGACAAATGCATATGAATGAATCCAGTAGAATGTGAAAATCCATTAACCATGTGCATTCAAAAAGGCAGAAACACTAAATAGTGGGGAAAACATTCCTACAAATGTAAAAATTACAAACCATGACAGAGTATCTTGCCAAAAAAAATGTCACCTTGATACCACTGAATGGAATGTCACTGAATGAACATTTTGGTTTCCAACCAAAAACTATTGTTTTCCTTTAGCATTTTGTAAAGAGGCCTCAGTCGCTTCTGTTGAAACCACCCTGCTCTGACTCCCTGCTCTAATAGAATAGGGTCATTTCCAACTCACTGGTTTTAAATAAAATGTCCATTTATAAAAAGAAAAATCAGAGTAAAAAAAATTTTTTTTCTCTCCCTTCCACTTCCCAATATTATAATACCAATGACTCAAGGACAGTGGAATAAAACAAGGACCTTAAAATTAAAGAGCAGTTTGCTTTGGAAAATAGGAAATCTTCAAAAAATTAATCATAAAGTTATCATGCAACACAGCAACTACAATCCTAGGTATATACCCAAGAGAACTTAATACATATCCACAGAAAAACCTGCACATAAACGTTCATAGCAGCATTATTTATAACAGTCAGAAAGTGGAAACAACATAAATGTCCTATAAATGGTAACTAGATAAATAAAATGTGGGCTACCCATACGATGGAATAAAATTGTCTCTTGGTATCTGTGGGGGCTTGGTTCCAGAACCCTTTATGGTCATCCCTCAGTATCCATGGTTGGTTAGAATCAAACAAAAACCATGGGTGCTGAAGTCCCTGATATGAAATGATATATGCATATAACCTATGCATATCCTCCCATATACTTTAAGTCGTCTCTAGATTACTTATAATACCTAATATAATATTTTATAAGGGCTATGTAAACAGTTCTTACACTGTATTGTTTAGGAAATAATGACAAGAAAATGTCTGTGCATGTTCAGTACAGATGCAATTTTTTTCAACTATTTTTCATTCATGTCTGTTTGAATCCATGGATGAGGGACTCACAGATATGGAAAGCCAAATGTACCATCAATGAAAAGAAATGAAGTCCTGGTATATGCTACAACATGGAGGAGCCTTGAAATCATTATGTTAGGTGAAAGAAGCCCATCGCAAAGGACCACATATTGCATGAATCCACTTATATGGAATGTCTAGAATAGACAGATCATGGAGACAGAAGGTAGATTAGTAGTTGCCAAGGATGAGGGGGAAAGGGAATTAAATGGAGCTAAAGGGTACTAGGTTCCTTTTGGGGGTGTCAAAATGTTCTGAAATTAGATAGTGGTGCTGGTGGTTGCACAACATTATGAATATTAAAAGCCACAGAATTCTGTTTCTTCAAAAGGGTCTGCAGGGTCAAGTTTTCCTGTGGACATGTATTCAATTCTCTTGGTATACAGCTGGGATTGTAGTTGCTGGGTTGTATGGTAACTCTATGACTAACTTTTTGAAGACTGCCTGTTTTCCAAAGCAATCTTTAATTTTACAGTACGTAAATTATCACTATTTAAAAAATAAAAAAATTTAAGGTTATTTTGATTTTTAATGTAAAGGTGCAAATTTTTTTACATTCTACTTAACAAATGGAAAGGATTATTTAATAATGTAAAAATTCTCTTTAATTTCTCTGAAATGGTCAATCTAGTTACACAATAAGAGAAAAATTAGAAAGGAAAGGAAGAAGAGATAGCATCTTAACATCAGCTAAAAAACTCAAGCAAAGACTCAATACATTCAGGAACACCTCCCAATTTCAAATCCCATCGTTGCCAGAGAGGTTTAAAGAAATTATACTCACTTAAAGTTAACAAAGTGAATATTCAATGAGAGAAAAAAAATCCTTAACTTTTTAGCTTACAACAGGGTAAAGGCTACAACCATAGAAAGTGTTAATATTCCCATTACATAAATTCAGATTTGAAAACTGAGATTTAAAGGGGCCAAATAACTTTCTCAATGACATAGTTTATAGAGCTGGGAAGAAATCCCAGTACGTTTGACTCCAAAGTCCACCCTCTTCTCATTATGTCATGAAGAACCAACTTCACTCTTAAGAAATCCAAAGGTATGTTAGCTCAGGATTCTGGGTCCAGTTATTGTTAATGCTCAAACATAGCTTGTAGGCATGAAGTTTTGTGCCCTAAGCCTCTGGCCACAAGCATTACTGCACACCTTGAACTCTTGATTTATGCTGCTGTTTAGATATATTCTGTGGCCTCAAAAGAAACATTTCATGAGTTAGAGCCCTGTGTGTCAATCAACCCCCAGTAAATTCTTTGTTAGAGACTCTATTCCTGACACGAGTCTCATGAAAACTGGTCATGTGAGTAACAGAACTTAAGAGAAGAATTAGGACAGACTAAGAAATCTGACACTAAGAAAATCTGATTTTATGTCTGAGTATCATCTTTCTACACAAAGAACAATACAGTCCTTTCATTATTCTGTCAAATATTAATGAAGTTATCCACAAGTTCTACTGGCTGCTTAAGATCATTATTTCATAAATGCCCACAGACAGTTTTGCTCTAGTTCTTTCAGAATCCAACATTACCTAGTATATTTTAAGATATTTAATACATTTCCATAATGACTTTTTTTAATACCCTAGATATCAAAATCCCTAGATAGGTGGTAAAACATTTTGGTTATTCCTAATGAAATATTTGTGCCTTTCAGATATTTGTGCTGGCTGGCCTATCTTTCCTCTTGTTTATAATTCTGAAAAGAGCCACAGAGGAAAAATTTCTTATAGAGAAGTTGCTTATTAGCAAGTAAAATATTTAAGACTACAGCATGTTTATGAGCTTGCAGTTTATTTGGAGCAAAGGGATGCTTTCTGAAGTCTTTATTTATAGACGCATTCCAACATAACCCCAGAATGTTCACAAAACTAAAAAATCTGTACTCTAGGATGCAGGGTAAAATGTCTCAGAAGACGTACGTAGGCTCATATATACTGCTCACAGTTTTAGACTTGGTAATAAATTCTATAATGAAAAGTTAGCTACACATATGGAAGCTAAACTTTAAATCACACAAATATCTTTTAACATAAATCTTAGAAAGAACAATGGGCTTATTGTCTCACTTGGTTTAGAAATCTAGGACTACGATTAGCTTGTGCAAAAAATTCACGCAACAAGTATTTACTGAGTGCTTACTATGCATGATGTACGCATGGTAAGGGACTTTGGGGAATACAAAGAAAAACCAAATATGTTCCATGCTCTAAAAGTGCTTCCAGACAAAAACAGTCAATAACACAGGGGCATGTATTATTCTAAAACGAAGGAGGCAGTGACATATGTTCTACAGGGGAAATGACATAATTACAATGCTAGGGAGGCTAGGCCAACAGAAGGCTAGATCTGGTACTGGGACAAGGTGGTGGTGGTGGCAGATATTAAGAAAGACTTCATGAAGGAGATGCCATTTCACTTACGCTCAGGGTAAATGAGGAATGGAACATGTAGAGGTGATGAGGAGGGCAATTAGGTGATGGTACAGCATAAACGAAGACACAAGACATGAACTGTGTAGGCACATACAAGGTAGATACTGGAAACATAACTAGTAAAGGTACCAAGTCACCCTTCTTTCGAGCAGAGACAGTCCCTTGCCAGAGGATACAGCTTGGGAAGCAGGATTATTAACTCCCACAGAGTCTCCCAACCAGGTACAATTCCACTGCTAACCTGATGACTGTATGGGGCAAACTTGGGCATGTATGGGAAGAATATACAGGGCAGTGGTAGTTACTTCTGCTAAATCTTGGGTCCACCATTCCGGTTGTGCAACTTTAGGTAAATCAACCTCACTGTACCAGAGATTCATTATCTGGAATAAAATGGTATTAATAACTAACTAATGACTCTAAAGCCTAATGAGAAAATAAAGTGTCTTATACTAAGCTTGGCTAATGCAGGCACTCAGTCAGTGACAGCAGTAGCCATTGTTTGTGTTAGCAGAAGGAAAGCAGAGGACTTTAAGTATTTTAGAAAGGTGGACTGGACCTGGAATTCTGAGCTGATATATCTTTGGATTTCTCAGTAGTCAAAATATCTGTAGTAGGAAGCCATTATTTTAGCCAGGTGTATTAGACCATTCTTGTATTGCTATAAAGAAATACCTGAGACCAGGTAATTTATAAGAAAAGAGGTTTAATTGGCTCACAATTCTGCAGGCTATACAAGAAGCATCACACTAGTGAGGTCTCAGGAAGCTTACAATCGCAGTGGAAGGCAAAGGGAGAGCCAGTGTCTCACATGGCAAGAACAGGAGCGAGGGGAGGACGGAAGAACCACACTTTTTTTTTTTTTGAGACAGAGTTTTGCTCTTGCTGTCCAGGCTGGAGTGCAGTGACGCATTTTAAGCTCACTGCAACCTCCGCCTCCTGGGTCAAGCGATTCTCTTGCCTCAGCCTCCCAAGTAGCTGGGATTACAGGCATGTGCCACCATGCCCAGCTAATTTTTTGTATTTAGTAGAGATGAGGTTTCACCATGTTGGTCAGGCTGCTCTCGAACTCCTGACCTTAGGTGATCAACCCATCTCAGCCTTCCAAAGTGCTGGGATTACAGGCGTCAGCCACAGCACCTGACACGGTACTACACATTTTTAAACAGCCAGGTCTCATGAGAACTCACTCACTATTGCGAGGACAGCACCAAGCCATGAGGAATCTGCCCCTGTGACCCAAACACCTCCCATCTGCCCCCACCTCCAACATTGGGGATTACAATTCAATATGAGATGTGGTGGGGACATATATTCAAACTGTATCACCAGGTAAAGGTAAAGTTTAGGATGACAAAATAATTCTAATATTGCTGTGCATGTCTTTATGGTGACACAAAGGTACCAACTATCATATGAAAGCACTTCCTTGTATTCTATTATCTTTTTCTATTTTATTTTCTTTTTACAAAAAAAAAAAAAGGTAGCTGTGCATGCTTTGAAGTGTTTCTAATGTGAAAATATAAACAGGTGGCAACACCATATATCTCCCTCTTTTCCTGTTTATTTTGAAATGCAAAAGTATGGGAACAAGCATATTCAATACACTCTTGAGATCTCTGTAATTGGTTTTAAAATCTGTCTTCAGGCATCATAAATTTCATCCCAGGATTATAATGTTAAGAAATGCCACTTGGAAAAATCAAAGTAATTTATAACTTAACACGGGGGGTTGGGGGGAGGAGAAAAAAAAAACCCAATAAAGATAGTTCCAGAACTACTGCAGAGAAAAGGGATTGATATAGACCAGTGCATTTATATGATCAGAAACTACAGGCAGTTGAAAAGTGAGAAAGTGAGAATAAAATAGAGATTGAGAGATAACGCAGAGACACGAAGTTGCAGCTGAAATTCTGAACTTTCTTGTGTTCAATGCACATTTGAAAATACTAGGATTTCTGGTGGCTTGCTTGAAGAGATTAACACACACAGTTCATATTTTGTATGACTCCCATGCAAATGTGTGTACATTAATAAACTGGCATGCCATTTCTTCTATTAATCTACCTTTTGTCAGCTGACTTTCAACAAACCTTCAGAAGGCAAAGGGGAAGTTCTCTATTTGCCCCTACTCTTTTGACACTGTGAGCAGGATACCAAAGCCCCTCTGCTCTTCTGGACGCCACATTCAAGTGAACCTAGAGCCTGACAAGCTAGCAAGAGTGTAAGTATTTCTTACCAGTCAGGCTCCCAGTCTCTGTATATGGAATCTGGTTGAGTGGATGGTAGAAATCTCGCTTGTTTTTTTTTTTTTTTTCTCCAAAATTTTGATTAATGGGAGAAAATTATTGGTATGACTTGACTTGGGTGTAGAAATTCTGGTGTATTTTCAACATGAATATTCATATTGTCTGATCCTTTTCCTCCCACAAATAGCTTTTCAGCTGTCTCTGTCTTTCTGTGTCATTTGTTATAAAGCGTCCCTCTCATCTTATTTTACATCCTTGAGAGCTTGCTTTGTGACCAAACAGGAATACCTGCTCTTGGTTTCCACCCTCTAGGGGACATGATTTTTCGGTCATGTCTGGTGGCCAGCCTGAAAAGACTGGGAACTCCGAGACATGTAACATATTAAGCAGCCTACTCTTTGTTCTGAATATGCCAAGACCTCAGGAGAGTTTGTCTTAAGTCCCATCCATAGCGGGCTTTTGTCATTCTTTTTGTCTGGTTAGTCCAGACAAAAAGGCTCGATTCTTTTTGTCTGGTTAGTCCTGGGAAAGTCCAATCCTAGGTGGGCCTACCCAGTGTCATGGATTAATGGGTCTGTGATGGGCAGCCCCCTCACAAATTTGTGGGATACTGGAGGCACTGTATATACAAATGTTATCCTTGACTTCTGTGGCAACAAGAGTTTTTTTCTTTCTTAGCCTATTTCGGGGAGTGAACTTTTTGGAGGATCATGGGAACTATCTCTTCTATACCCTCTCTAGGAACAGCTTTTGCTTATACGGTAAAATTTTATTCGAAACCTAGAAAATTACTTCATGGGCTTTCCATGAAGAGGCTTATTGGATTGAGTTGATACTAGAATAATACACCATTGGAAATCCTAATTGTCAGTGGCTGGAAGATGGTTCCTTTGAATTAAAAAGACTTCTGTATTTGAAAAAGACTCCGGAGAACTCACATTATCAGCAGTTGCCTTATTTGTATTTATGGGAGGATCAAACTGAAAGAAAGACATATATTAGTGTCATGGCTAGCCTTAGACTGTCTCTTAAAAAAAAAAAGCAGAAATCAGATTTAAAACAAAGTTAAAATCCTTTGTACGTTCAAACTACCTGCCTCGGGTCCCCTGCGGGATTTGCAAAGAACGCCACTCCATCTTGTAGTCTAGCAGTTAAAATTCCACACTCTCACCTTGGCGGCCTAGAAGTTTGATTCCCTGCCAAGGAACTAGTCCCTTGGAGACGTAAATCCTTTAACACAAAAGGGGAAAGAAAAAAGAAACATTTATTTTTAAAATGGGTTTGATATTTGTGTGACTCAACTTTTTGGGTACCCATTTGTTATTGATCTTTTTCCCTTCCATGGACAGCTTTTGATTTCCTATCTCACTGTCTCCTTTAATCATCCATCCATGGGGCACACAGTTGTCAGGCCTTTGTGTGGAGAGTCAGCTGGGAAGCTGAGACCCTAGAGAATATTGCCAAGCAAAAACATGGGTTGTCCCCTGCTTGCAGCTAGTCAAACTTTGCTTTCTTTGAACTGTCTTTGGGGGTGGTCCTGGATCTTGTAAGGCCTGCTTTCCGCCTCTTTGGAGATAATTTGTGCTTCCTTGGTTAAGTCATAAAAGGTTTATTGTTTTTGGTGTTGAGTCACTTGGAAGGTACCTTCAGTTTAAAGAAGTTAAAAAGCCAGGAATGTTAGCTGTTTCTCTCAGCTAAAGTGTAATAAGAAATTTTTTAAAAAGTTTTTGAAAGAGCTCTATGGTCAAAAGTCAGCTTAATTAAAAGCTGATATTTGGATTATCATTTTTTTCTTAAAAAAAAAAAAGTCTTTCTACTTTTTCTCTTTTGGATCCTATTTCTCTACAGGGATTTTTTTTCCCCCCAGTCAACTGAAACACTTAGTTTCTTAGTCTTCTAGTCAAGGCCAGACAATGTCACTATCATGTAAGGATTATATGTGTACCAAGCATTCAGTACAAGGAAGGCACTCAATAAAAATTACCTTTCCTTCCTATCAGAGAAGCAACTAAGATATGAGGACAGATGTATAATACCAAACTGGCTTGAATTCCTCTAAATATGTATCAGTTACAGAATGATTATGATTTCAAACAGAACTCAGTGAATATTCTGCTAAAAACCAGGAATGCTCTTGCTACAATAAACTCTAGATTGTTTTATAATACAGTACCAATCAGACAACTTCCAAATCTAAAACATGTATGGGTTAGCATCCTGAGCTAAAGGAGACTGGCAACTAAACAGATACCAGTATATGCATTTATTATCACTCACAATAACACACCACAGAAAATGTGCCTAAACCAATTCCTTCCACAATAAGCCTAGAGAGTACAGTTAAAACACGCATTGGCAGGAAGAAAAAAAAAAATATGTGAAGGACTAATGCTTTAAAAAAATCACCAGTTCTAAATACCATTAAGGGGCTACAGAGATCTGCCACGTTGGATTCACAAGCATGCTTGTTCATTTGTTTTGCTTTTAAATGTATCGGTGTCCATTGTCAGTACTCTTTAGAATATATAAATAACTAACAAGAATTGCTCTATAACAATTCATAGTAGATGTATGTAAGTAACAATTCTTACGCCTATGATCTAAGATGGATAATACAGTCACGGCAAAGTGGATCTCCTACTAAAGTCACTTTCAATTAATTTGCATCTTAAAGTTCTGAGTCACTTCCTCTGAACGATTACATTTGGGTGGCACGATGTATACAAACATTCCAGTCCTGCTTGGTAAATAGTGAATTGCCACAAAGAGGAAGTTGATATAACTTTCTTTTTGGCATAAATGGTTTATTTCAAATCACAAACTATCACCACAAAGGAAGAAAACAATTTAGTATTCTGGGCAGCAGGCTGATAACTTTTCATTAGTCTGAAAACACTTTCCTGAATTTTCTGAAAGCAGGACAATTGGAACAGAAGCCTCATATGTGGTTGGTATCTGGGCATCTACGCTATTAAAATAGGACTTGTGATCTTTCCTCTGCTACTAGCTCTGTATTAATCAGAACTACTGAATTTTGGGTTAAAATTCCTCAAATATTTTTGGTGACAATTACTAAAGACTAGTGCTACAACAATATTATTAAGTAAACTTGTATTATTAGTTACATCTTTCAAAAATCCCAGTAAAGATATAGAGAAGGTATTAATTTTATAAGACGTTAAAATCAATATTGATATGTATTACTGAAATATAGAAATATAAGTCCTTTATGGTCTGAAAACTAAATTGGGATCTAGTCATGATATAATATGCAACAAAAGGAAAACTAGTGAATCCTTAATACCTGCTAGGAAATAACACTCAGAGTTTAGGAAAAGATCACTTAATAAGAGACTAATGAGCTTTTTTTTTGACTGAGTTTATACCCAAAGGAGACTTGGATATAACACAAGGGAACTAATAACTCAGAAGAAACAAATCACACCTTAAGTACAAGCAAAAAAAAAAATCACTTATTCAGTGATGATATGTAATGCTCTGGCAAAGTTTCCTGAAGAGTTTAAGAGAATACCTACACCTTTTAAAACGGAGTTAATTTTACTGTCCAAGCATTTGTAAGATTGGCCCTAGTATGCGCTTTTGTTAATTAGCCAGGTCAAAGCTTGTCTCTATAAATCACAGCAGATATTTCAAACCTGGCTGAACTTAAATTACAAGTTGCCTAAAATTCCATCTTTTTATTTTGAAATTGTCCAAAGTAGTTATGATCTAAAATATAGAACAGAGCAAATGCCAACTACAAATCCAATTTCCTACAAAAGTTTCTACCTAGGTTATGTGAGAAATTTCCGTTTTAAAAAAAAGGGAAAAAAGCAATCACTTATAATACTCTTTCCAGTAGTAAAGGACGTTTTTCCTCTTCAAAAATGAGAATGAGTTATAAAATGCCCGAGTGCCCTCAAAATTTCATAATAACTATTTTATTAAAAAGTCACATAGTTGTCCTTTACTGAAGGCTTTAATTTTTTATGACAAAGTATTTTACAAAAGAACACAAAAGAGTATGCCCATATGAGCAAAATACCATTTTTAACGTTTTGCATTTTGAATTCTATTGACTTTGTTATTTTCCCATGACACTTCGGCAACAGAAGAATTAAGTTTGTGTTTACAAAAATTAAAGAAATGGCTCTAAGATATGCCATGATAATTTTCTTAAATCTGCTCCATTATTCACTTTAGGCTTCTACTTTCACATTTAATTCATCCGAATTACACATTAAAATTAGTCATGATCTGTAGCACATAACAAGCAATGGCTTATAATCAGGAAAAAGACTGATAACTCACTTTAAAGTGTATAAACACATCTTTTAATATTCTGCTGAAGAATCTCCATCTCAAGTGTATTAGAAAGGATGAACGTTTTAGTAACTATCAATTTCCTACATCTTTACCACCTTCACCTTAAAGACAATGAGAATGCATAAAGGTATTTCAATTGCACTATTACCTAATTCTTAGTCTTCCTGTTATCTGAAAACTAAGTGCCAATCTACTATCTCCACTGCTAAAACATGCAAAGTGTATTATTCTCATGCTCTCACCTTTCTTTTTTAATCAAGAAAACCAATTAACTAGTTCATAATTAACATCTGATCATTAGATTTTCATAAAATTCATTTGTGCAGTGAAAACCTTCAAGTGCTGAAATTCTCTATTCCATCCCTTTACAGTTTGCTGCAGTCATTTACAAGTGGACTTCGATAGGGGAACATTTAATATAATCAGTTTTCCATTCAGCATGACAAAATCAAAGAAAATATTTTGTTTGCACAGGAGACATTTACTTTGGGTAGATGAATACTTGGGAATCATAACTAACTATCCACTGCATACATTTGCATGAAATTTCTATTTTCTATTACTTTCTCTGGAGAAAAGAAATACCTAATCTTGCATATCAGTCCCCAATATTCTGTTTAGCAATCAATGCTCCCCCGGTGGGACTGACAAAAAGAATTTCCATACATCATTGAGCTGCTAGACTAAGATTAAATCACCTATCCATATGTAATTATTTAAAGATAAATATTTGAGACTACAATCTCTGGCGATGACATATTTGAAAGACAGTTTATTTCGTGCAGTTTTTTTTTTAAGGTAATTTTTTCCCTCCAAAAAAATAAGGAAAATAAACTGCTATAAGGAAAACACAAACATGGTGCATAATTATGAGAAGGAACAATATCATTATTTATGGGTTAACATTTAAAAATTAACAATAACAATGTCTAGCACATATTTAATGAATGAAAACATGAATGAATGAAAATCTGTTAGAATTTCACATTTTACAGATAAGAAAATTATAGGATTAGTAGAAAAATACGGTAGTAGAGCTAGAACCCAAATCTTTGGGTTTTAATATAAAATTATTTTTAATAAAGTTAATACAAAATTCATTCCACAAAAGACAATTTAACCAAATATCCCTTACCATCCAAAATCTGCACTACCAAGTCAATGATATGAATAATCTTCAAATCAATCCTAAACTATCACTATATTAAGAAGCTACTATACATGTTAATGAACTGTCATGTGCACTTCATCTTTTCCTTCCTTTCTTCAGCAAGTATTTATTGATCATCTGCTATATGTCAGTAGATGAAAGACTTCTATAGAGTAAAATACCTGTTAATAGAGCTACTATATTAGCATACACATACACACAAAATAAATCAAGAGGACTGTGAAGATTTCACATATAAGATTCTAAACAGTCTTAAGGATGAGTTGGAACTTACAGGGCAAAGGGAAAGATGGAGAGGCAGGAAGGAACAGGGGTTGTTTAGTAGAGCAACAGTGAAGGATAGGTGAGAATAATAGTAAGGGCCAGTTGTACACATGCTAAGGAAACTTGGACTAAATTCTGAGTCCAAGGTTATTAACCTTTTAGAAATAAGAACTTCCTTCATCATTAAAAGAATGGTATAGATTCGTCAATCCCCATCTCATCCCAAATGATAATTGTACTTGTTATCTGAGAACATATACAATGACAAAAACTATTATGAATTTAGAAACCCCTTTTTAAATATATTTTTCACTAGTTCTATTAATAATAGTACTCACATATTTTCAAATTAATAATATATATGTAGGATAATTATTTCAGGTATGTCTTTAAAAACGCTGATTGCACGGGCATTACTACAGGATAATGCAAATGAAGAAAAACATCAACAAATGAGGTTAAAAATATTAATGGCAAAGGATATGAAATCATATGTCTTAGTCCGTTTGTGATGCTATAAAGGAATAGTTCAGACTGGGTAACTTCTAAAGAAAAATGGTTTATTTGGTTCACAATTCTGTTGGCTGGAAGACTGGGCATCTGGTGAGAGCCTCAGACCGCCTCCAGAGGGGAAGGGGATCAAGCTTGTGCAGAGATTACATGGTAAGAGAGGAGGCCAGAGAAAGAGGGAGGGAGGTGCCAGCTCTTTTCACCAGCTCTCTTGACAACTAATAGAGCAAGAACTCAGAATTCACTCGTTACCACCAGGATGGCACCAAGCCTTTCATGAGGGATCCACTCCCAAGACCCAAACACCTCCCACTAGGCCTCACTTCCAACACTCGGGGGCGATCAAATTTCAACATGAGGATTGAAGGGTCAAATATCCGAACTACAGCAACACCTGTTCTGACTACTACATAAAGCATAAGACAATGCAGCATATTCCCAGATCCATGTGCAGGCTTTCCAGGTCTCTCAGTTTTCTGGTTGGAGACATTAAGAAGCTATCGATAATACTAACAAATTGAGGATACTGCTGTTAGGTCTGAGAAACTCATCTTTGCTAATTTTAGGGGGATTTTTATACTACCCTGTTAGCTCTTCACTCTTCCCGGTGCCCTCCCCACAAAGTGTTCTGGAGAATTCTGGCTCCATGCCTGCTGCTCACAAATTCAACTAGCACAATCCTGAGTGTAAATTATGACAACAATGGGTGATCAGACAGCCAATTTTATACGTGTAGCATACTTTAGAGGACCGGGTTCGTGCTGACTTGAGATTCATTCCTGAACCACAATATGTAATATAATGTCAAGAGTAACGGCATTATGGTGGGGACTGATTTACAATTATACTTTGAGGCAAGAAAGTGCAGAATTGGAACACTTTTTTGAGAAGTCTTCTTTTTCTTTGCATATTGGCTAAGTTATCCACAGAGTCATATATAATTTGAGAAGGTCCACGATGGAAAGTTCTAATTATTGAAAGAATGTGTTGTTCATTCATAAATGCTTTCTGCACATGTAAGAGTCAACTGGATAGACAGACTTAATTATCTGCCAGCCAATCATGATTTCATTGGCTAGGTTATAACCTCAGCCCTGCACAGCGCCTGTGAAGGGCTCAGGAGGAGAGTGAAACATGATCTTTCAAGGGTCTGGAAGAAAGTTGGGAGCACAGGAACCACTGCAGGATGATGAGAATGAAGGAAAAACCAAAAGATTAGTTTTTTAAAAATGTAAAAATTCCTCAAAATGCTTAAAATCTTTTTGAGAATGCTGGCCTAAAACATAATTCCTGTCACCAAAATGCTTAATGAAGACCCCACATTGCTGCACAGTCAGTGTAACTGCTATAGCGGTCAAAGGAGTTCCACAAGGGCTTCATAAGAGGCAGGACGTGGATTTGAGACAAAATTTAAAAACTAAGTGGTAGATGGAAAGATAGTCAGTAGACACACACAAAAATGGTCTCGAACACAGAGGGAGAGCAGGGAGAAAGGCTGCATGCACTAGAGCAGAAGCCTGCTGGGAGGGGAAGCAGAAAATCAGGTCACATCTAGCAGTTCAGAGCTAAACCTTAACCTCAGCTGCTACAGGCATGGCATGTACAGGTGGGATTTCTTCCTTAGTCTCAACCTTCAGCTCTTTATGTCAGTATTTCCACGGTTCCTCCCTCATTTCTAAATATATTTACCCATTATTTTATTATAAATGTTCTCACATGCTCCCCCAATTCTCTGTGGAATAGAACTCAGTGTAATAAACAAGTAAATTTCTGGCAGGATTGTAGGGTAAGATCATATTACGTTGAAAAAAGTAGTTTAATGAATGAGGAGCTCTCCACGGGTTTCTGAACCTACCCCTATGCAGGGTAGAGGCCTTTTTTTTTTTTTTAAGTGGCATTTGAAAAACTCATTCTAGCAGCAAGTACCATGTTGAAGCAATGGGGGAAAAAGAGGATGCTGCAGCACTACAGGAACCAGGTAACACTCAGAGGACTTGAGAGCAAAGTAGCGGCTCTGGAATAGGAATAGCCGAGGGCATTTGCAACATACCACTGATAAATCCTACTACACAGACACCATTTGTTATTCCCAAGAAGTAACTAGAGAGCAGAAGTCTCTCTCTCAGCTACGGTTGGGAGCTACAGCTTATCATAGATGAATTCCTCAACTAATAGCCTACTTATAGGCTATTATCGTATAGGCACAGAATGTGGGTTCCATATTTCATATTTTTTCCTCATTTTTACAATCGATAATGATTATCTAAGACATTTCTATGAACCTGCATTTATCCTTATAGGAGACACAGTAAAACTACCAAATACTCAGAATAGTGAAATTCTCAGGGAAAGCCTTTGACTAAGGCAATCCATGCATCTATACCATAACAAATACCCAAGATCTGTTGGTTTATTCCGTATTATCTGGTCCTATATCAAGTTCTATATGCTTTTTTATCTTTATAAGGATATTCAACACACATTTTTTGAATCTCTGCTACAAAAGAAATGAAATTCCTTAACCTGTTTAAGTATTGAAAACTATTAAAGAATTGGTATGTTGCATTGCATTTTCTTTATAATGCTTCAAAGTGCCAGAACAATCATTTATACTTATGATGTGGCTATTCAAGCCAAACTTCAAAGCAAAAACATTTTCTCATTCTCATGCTTGTTTTTCATTCTTGGCTCTGTCTTCTAAAATTGTGAGTTTGCTTTGTAATTCTGGTCTACTTGTCTCATAGCAACCATAAAAGCACACAGGTAAATGGCTATTCTATGATTAAATAACCTTTTAAAGTTTCTCCATATATTGCTGTAATTCAACTTACAATGTGAGCTACAGAATTTGACATTTATTATGGTCATCCGTACTTTGGCAAAAGTTTTTTTCAGTAATATTTTGTTTCCTTAATAAAAAGTAATCTGAAGCAAAAAAAAGTTAACATTTGATATTAGTGGGAACACAGATGATAATTTTATTTTGTACCTTTTCAATTAGTTTTAAAGGTTTTATTATTTAAAATTTCAAAAACCTTAAATATCAACAAAAAAAGAATAATGTTTAAAAGAATAATACCTTTCATCCATTGTGGGAATCCCTCACTAGAGTTTTATACAGTGACAGTACTTCTAGGTCATAAATAAAATAAAATTTCCATTATTCAAACATAAGGAACTGGAATTGTCAATTAAGTTAAAATTTGGGGACATTAAAATTTTAGATGAAAGAAGCAATATGTGTTATGAATCACTACAGATTTCAGCTTTATTCTCCTGTGATTATGACATCTACAAATTATGTAATAATAAAAGCTGAAAAAGATAACCTGGAAACACTGTAAGATCCTGAAATAAGAATTCTGACATCTGTATAATCAATACAGTTTACAAAGCACTTTCACTAAACTGACCCTTAATTCTCAAACAAACCTATTTGATGGGCCTTTATTTCTATTTTATAAAAAAGGAAACTAGGGCTCAGATATTAAATACCTTGGCCATGCTGTTGGTAAAAGGGCAAGGTCTGGACTAGAATCAAGTCTTCTAGCTACAAACTATGTTCTTATCACTAAATCATACTACCTTGTAGTGCAGAAAAATAGATTTCAACCATGGAGATGAACACCAGGGTCTATTGGTTAGCTTTCAAAAAAAGTGGTTTTTTTTTTTTAAACGATAGAATTTGATAAATCTTGTCAGACACATCAATATGTATATCCCACGTCTAGTCTATTACCAGTGCAGCAGCACATCCATGCAGCATCCTTAGTAAAATGCTTTAGTTTAAGCCAATCTCATCCAATTAGGAAAGGACATAGGTATTCTGCAGCATAATCCCTAGTCAAAAATACAGGTACAGCTGTACAGTCTTTCAGGAGTCTGTGTGCGCAGAGAAGTTAGGCAGGGAATATATAGAAATAGTCAAGACAAGTAATATTAACAACTATATCTGACTATAGGAAGCAAATGGCATATGACCTTTACAACCAGAAGAGAGTATATTTTACTTACTTAGATCATCATTGGGCTTCTGTATAGTAAAGAAAGAAGTTTAGGGGACTCTTTGGCCAACATAACTACAATGCTAATGGAAGGGGGGAATATATATTGAACAAGTATAAGTATTAAGATAATTGGAGCCACCCATGGTATGTGCAGACATGCTACCAATAAATTCATGTTAGAATAGTATTGCCACCCCTTATTCAAATTTAATTTGACATTCAATACAGAGAGGTTTTTTTTATGGTTTATGGCCTCCAGAAAAATAATATAAATGGTTTGATATCTTTATTTTCATTATAGTCATTATTCCTCTCCTAAGAAGACTTGTCTATGAAGTGACTGGCAGGCTATTAAAATCCATGAATCATCTAACCTAAAAAATACGGCTCATAAGCATTAAGAACACTATCTCAGACAAGTAATACCCATTTCCTCTGATTGAAAACACTATAAAAACCAAGGGCAATTTAGTAACTAGAAAGTGGGGGGGAAAAAAGCTGTATTTCTTTTCTTTTTTCTTTTTTTTTCTTTTTTTCAGAGAGTCTTGCTCTGTCACCCAGGCTGGAGAGTGGTGTGATCGCGGCTCACCGCAATCTCTACTGCCCAGGTTTAAGCGATTTTCCTGTCTCAGTCTTCCTGAGGACTAGCTGGGACTACAGGCACCCACTACCACAACCAGCTAATTTTTTGTATTTTTAGTAGAGAGGAGGTTTCACCATGTTGACCAGGCTGGTCTGGAACTCCTGTCATCAAGTGAACCACCCGCCTTGGCCTCCCAAAGAGCTGGAATTATAGGAATGAGCCACTGCATCTGGCCAAAAGCTGTATTTCTAACCAGTGGTGTTTCTGGTTTGTTTTTTTTTTTTTAAGCAGACTATGAGTTTCCGGTTAGTGTGGGTTTATTCTTACATCAAGAGAATTCACTAGCAATCTGCTCAGAGCGTTAACAAACTTGCTGTACCACAGTTTTTTCTTTTTTTTTAAGAAAAAAAAATGACAGAACTAGAACAAAGCAAAAATAAAAACAACTCTTTCCCAAGCAACTAATTTTCTACATACAGACAAATATAAAAGAAAAAAGTATTTCTAAGGTTTTTTAAAAAAAGAATGCTTACTTTTCTGTTTTGGAAATAGGTACTTATTTCTAAATATCAATTAATTATCTCTATTCTATTATTAATAGCCTTGACTATCACATTGGATAAAGGAAAATATTACATGATACCTAAATGGGCCACGTACAACATGGCAATAAAGTATTCCCATTCAGAAGATTGAAATTATAGATAAACACCCCAATTTTCCTTTTCTCTATTAAAAATATTCTAATTTGTAGGTATTTCCAAACTCTACAACATGGAAATAAGGAGTTAATTATTCCATTTCTAGTGTTTTCATATAATATACCATTTTCCAAGAGTTACATATTTAGTTGAGGAAGAATAGAGAAGGATGGTGACTAAGGCAGCCCAGAAGACAAAATACAGTAATGTTTCATTACACTAAAACAATGGTCATAAAAGTAATGGATAACCTACAAATGTCCAGAATAGCACATGAATTTTCGCCTGATGAAACCAGTTTTGAATGAGATTAGCAATGGGTGAGATCAGTCATGAATGAGATTAGTTTTATATGACTCATGGAATAATGTTTGCTGGAAAACAACGACACAAGAACACAGATTCAAACTTAACTTGGTGGTTAAATAACTGAAAAATGCTTGTTTGTCTTGAAGAAACATCTTTCTTATCTCCTGTCTAGTGGTTTTGATTTGTTTCATTCCAAATAAATAAAAGCTACTTTGTTTCTGGTATCTTATATCCTGAATTTGACTGATAAGTAAAGCAATGATACAGGCAGCATTCAAATGAGGATGGATTTTCAACGGCAAAATTCAAAAGGCCTTTTAGAAGAACTCAGATTTCCAGGGGGTATAGGAGGCTTTTTACATTCTATTATCCAAAAATCTGGTATGAAGAATGAATTTTCACAGGCCACTGACAATGACCTATGGAAAAAAATGCATTTGCACATAATTTTTCAGAGGAAGAAGACAGACTGTAGAGCTAAAAGCTCTGAGTTTGAACCCTAGCTCTGGTACTGCTTTATGTATTTTACCTAAGCTTTCTGAATTTATCTTCTCATCTGCAAATGGGGATTTAACAACCTGCTTTTTAGAGTTCTGAGGCTTAAATATCTTTCACAGCGCCTGGCAAATACAAGAAATTAACAAATGCTACTTCCCACCTACAGAAGCCAACAAGTGGTATGCAGATATCAGAGGAGAATGAATCATATACCCTTCCCCTTATCCCCTCCCCTTCTCAAAATAAAATGCCAAAAACCTGGTATTATACATGGGTAAATTAATTTTTAGTTCACTGAAAGCTATTCCCACTGCTGTATCTTCACTTGAATTTTGCCTTCTTCCCTTGACATGTCCAAATCCAATTATTCCTTTATGGATCAGCTCAAGTCTCAGTTTCCCAGTAAAATCTTTTCCCTTAATTCTCTACACCTCTATGTGTAATAAATAGAAGATTTTCTACCTCAAAGTGACTTAGCTGAATTGCCTGATTATTCTTAAATTTTGGCCCCAGAGGTTATCCTTGGGAGTATTACACTTGTTATCATGTACATCCCTAAATTTTTCCATGCTGTTAGTTTTAACTCAATTAAAAAGCATTTTATCTTACTACCTGCAAAGCAGAGTATGGGAAAATGGGGGCAGAGGCAGGGGAAATTTAATGAGCCATTAAAATTGTGAAAATGGGCCGGACGCAGTGGCTCACACCTGTAATCCCAGCACTTTGGGAGGCAGAGGAGGGTGGATCACCCAAGGTCAGGAATTCTAGACCAGCCTGGCCAACGTGGTGAAACCCTGTGAAACCCGAAACCCTGTCCCTACTAAAAATACAAAAATTAACCAGGCGTGCTGGCGGGCACCTGTAATCCCAGCTACTCGAGAGTCTGAGGCAGGAGAATTGCTTGAACCCAGGAGGCAGAGGTTGCAGTGAGCTGAGATCACGCCACTACACTCCAGCCTGGGTGAGAGTGCGAGACTCCATCTCAAAAAAAAAAAAAAAAAAGTGACAATGAATGGAGATGGAATCACGGAAGGCCTATGATACCACACTGTGAGGTTACATGTATTGTATTCACTGTGCAATGAGGAGCTACTAGAGGTACCAGGAGAATGACAAGATTAGATATGAGTTTGAGAAAAAACTGGTAGTGACATGGGGGCATTAAGATACACTGAAGGCCATTTGGAAGCTTACTGTCATTAGTCACATTAACAAACAAATGAAACCAACAACAACAAAAACAAACAATGTGACAAAGAGTATTAAACTAAAGCAGTGGAGATTAGAATGTCTGTAAATGGAATTTGGACATAAAAAGGGAGGGAGGGGGAAGACTCAAAAAAGCTTGATTCGTGTTTTTGGTAATTTCATTAAATTTCACAAAATCATGATGGAAAGACCACCTGTAGAGGAAAAATGAGTCATATTATAAATATGTTTAATGTGTGAAGCTTATCAAAACATTCGTGTGTAGAAGTTGAGAAAGACTCAAAAGAAAGGTGGGGCTCCATTCATAAGACTTGGAAGTCAGCTCTGAAGAGATCATAACTGAAGTTAAGGGGGAAAATCTTTGAAAAGTACAATAAGAAGTAAAGAACTGTGATGGCAAACTTTATTTAATTCTCAAGCAGCAAAAGAGAAAACAAAACATTAGATAACTGAACCAATAAGATCAATAATTCTGAAATGGGTGGGGATAGAGAGTTAGAGAAACCAAGGAAGAAGAGTTTCATAAAAGAGGAGAATGTAGAGTAGGATAAAAGCTGAGATACGATCCAGTGCTGTGACTTCTGAGTTACAGAAGGGCAGAAAGAGCAGAGATGAATGAAGACAGAGACCTACATCAAGGCTGGAAAAATATTAATTAGCAGGTAATTGGTAGGTAGCCATCAATAGTTACGGGAGGAGGGGAAGAGGCAGAAGGTGAGAAACGAAGGAGGGAGGAGGGAAGCAGGCAGAGTGCGGATGGTCCATATGTAGACTGGGGGAGAACAAGCTTTCTAGAATAGGGATCATCAAGTGTGAAGGCCCAGAGGTAGCCATGTGCCTGGTATGTTAAAGGAAGGTTTGTGCCTAATCAACCTGGTGAGTAATGATGGCATATACCATGATGGAGAAGACTTGGAGAGGTACTGATTTAGCAGAAATCAGGATGAAGATATGTAAATAAAAAATTTGTCTAGTTGTGATAAATTTGAAATGCCTAATAGACACCCAAGTGGAAATATTAAGTAGGCAGTTAAATATATGAACCAGGGGCTCAGGAGAGAGGTCACAGCTAGAGATAGAAATTTAGGGTTCATCAACATTGGAAAGATATTTAAAGGCTGAAAATGGATGAGATCATCCAGGAGCAAGTGAAGACAGAGAGGAAAAGAAGTCCAAGGACTAAGCTCAGAAGCATTCCAACAACTTCAAGTCTGGAAGTAGAAGAGAAGTTAGGAAAGAAGATGGAAAAAGAGTTCCCAGGGAGGTAAATGGAAAAATCAGGAGAACTTTATATCCTGAAGTTTACTGAAGAAGGGCTTCAAGGAGAGAACAGACAACTGTGTCAAAGGCTGAGAGGTCCAGTAAAATAAAGACAGAATTGACCACTGTATTTGATAAGACAGAAGTTGCTGCTGATTGTGAAAAGACAGGTTTTGGTCAAGTGGAGGTATAACATGCTGAGTAAGTAGCCTGAAGAGATGAGAGATGAGGAAGTGGTAATAACAGCATACAGAATTCTGTGGCATTTTACTATAAAGGGAAATCAATGTGACAAAACTGAGGATGAATGCAGACTCTAGAAAGAGACTTCCCCCCTTATTAGAGAGATAACATGTTTGCATACTAATAAGAAGATCTGGTAAAGACGGAGAAATTGCTAATACAAAAGAGACATGGTATAATCCTGGAACAAAATCCCCAAGGAGAAACGAGAGGATGGGATCCAGCAACCAAATAGAGAGGCTGGCCTTAAACTGCAGTTGGGACGATTCATTCGTGGTAACAGATGGAAAGGCACAGATGCAGGAAAGAATATGATATAACAAAAAATAATATCTTGAATTACTACTGTTTTCTCAGTAGTAATTTCAGAGATTCTGTCAGTGATTTTTTTAATATAACTTCAAAAGCAATCATCATAGGTAATATGGTCTACTGAATATAGGACGAACCAGGAAGTGGGTTCTAGATCTGGTTCTGCCAGTTTGCCACCTAAATAACACCAGTCAAGTCTCTCATCTCAAGTTTTAGTGAAAATTAGTACAAAGTGTCCTTAAGCAGAGAAAGCATGTCAAGAGAGGGGGGAAAAACCCCGTAACATATCCCTTTCCTGCTCCTTTAAAGCCAATACTTAATGATTTTAATGATAATCATTATTTGAAATGATAGGAGCAAAAAAGAGGAACGAATGGACAAAGACATTATTGAATAACAGAACTTTGGATATGGACGCAACATTTTAAGAATAAATGAGGAAATGTTGAAGACCCAGAGATTTTAAATGATTTGCTCAAGGTCATATCATTGGCCCAGCAAAAGCAAAAAGCATAGTATCGTGTATAGTTTAATGTCCTTTCTTCCAAGAGCATTTTTGCACATTACTGAAACGCACTTCTCTGTAATTTCCTAAAGTACTAACAGAAATAGAAACAAAAGTTAACACAGACAAGAAACTTGTTAAGTCTCACTTCCCATCCATCAATGAAAATAAATAAATTTGACTCTCTATTTACATATAACAACTTAAGAGCATGTTTCAAATTACCTTATTATCTACACAATAGAGGATTAACTGCTTACATTATAGATGTCACCATGAAGTTGTTATGGGGTTTTAAAACATGTTTCTTCACAAGGTGGAATTAAACACGAGTCTTCTTTAGTCAAACAGATTGCTGAGCTCATTTCAGCCCAACATTCATTGACTAGGTGCTCAATCTTTTCTAACCACTGCCTCCATTTCTGAGACAGATGTGGAATTAAAGCATGAATAAAGCAGTCTAGGATTATAACATGAATGGAATGCCCTGGCGTCGAGAGTTATCTTTTCAAATGAGCACAGAAAATGTGAATGCTTCTGCCTGTTCCCAGATGTAAAGGTGTGGGGGCATATTTTGAACAAACACCATTTCATGTAGGTTTTATGGTATAGGAAAGCAAGAAAATGACTTCAGAGAACTCTTAAGTTACTTGGAGTGATTATCTAATCTATTTTATGGAGGATGGGATGCTTTTCTAATTTTCTTTTTTCCCCACAGTTCATAATTACCTCATGGTAAAGCAACCCTGATGCTATTCACTTCTCCAATAGGAAGTAAACAGAGTTTAAAAATACAAAAGTATTTAGACCTGACAATTCAACTATTTGTTAGGGATCTCCTACTGGTTTGCTCTTGAAGGATATTCTACCATAAGATAAAGCAACATTGGTCAGCACCATATAGAGTGGTGGCAAAAAAAATTTTTTTAATTAAATTACATTTAGGAACTCTATATAGACTATTTATCTAAAATATGTCCCTTATTATCACAAAAGGACTACTGTATACAGATACTCCTTGACTTACAAAGGGGTTGCATCCTGATAAACCTATCACAAATTGAAAATGCATTTAACACATCTAACCTACCAAACATCATACTTAGCCCACCCTACCCTAAACATGTGCAGAATGCTTTCATTAGCCTATCATTGAGCGAAATCATCTAACATAAAGCCTATTTTATAATAGAGTGTTGAATAGCTCATGTAATTCACTGAATACTGAAAGTGAAAAACAGAAGGGTTGTATGGGTACTCAAAGCATGGCTTCTACTGAATGTGGATCACTTTCACACCATCATAAAGTCAGAAAATTCTAAGTCAAACCATCTTTAAGTTGGGAACCATCTATATATTACTGAATTGAAAGGATTAACACTCTCCAAACTATAATCCTGTTATGAAATAGACAGACCTTGTTTTATAAGGCTTATTTTCCCAGATTGCTTTACCTCAAATAGCAGGCTTGCCATTATGATCACACTGTGCTTACTCATCTTTAATTTACATCCAGGACTTCCACATCACTAAGTAGATCTATGAGAAAAACTTGCACAAAGGCAATCATCCTATGGAGGGCAGTCATAAAACTTAACAGCCTCCCCATCTTGGAGGGGAGGGGGAATATTACCATTAAGCTACAAGCTTTTGACTATTTACAAAGGTTTCTAGAGGATAAAATACTGAATCCTTTTTAATACTGTAAAATTTTGTGCTCACAATGCATGTGACGCATTAAGAAACGGTTTAAAGAGTATTTTAAAAATGATTAAGGAGAAGTTTTAAACAATACGTATGGTTTGGTTCAGAGAAAGCAAAAAGATGCATAAGAGTCTGTCTATAAATATGTGGTACTTATAAAAATAAGGCTTTTTTCAGGTCAGTCAAAAGAGAGAACAATGTAAAAATGCCTTAGGCTACAAAATAAAAAATTCATGGTCAATAGCAGCAAGACTTCAAAATAGCACAGAAGAAAGCTTTTCTAGAAATACAGCTTTAAGTACCACTTGGTAATAATAGCTTTGATTACATACTTAAGGAAATAGGAAATTCCACATCTGTCTCAAGTCTGGGCCAAATGACCCGGATTATGTTACTTTCCTGTTTAAATGCTCCTTGAGGTTCCCTGTTAGCTACAGAGCAACCCTAGGGTATACGATGTTACTTCCTTTTGCCGAAGTGCCTACGTTTTCCTTGTACACATCAACTCCTACAATTTTTTTCAATACCCAGCTAAAATGAGACTGTCATTTGAATATATCTGCTATCATATTTACCAGATTATACTCTGATAATCTGTTTACACAGCGGGCTTCTGAGCTAGAAAGTGGGCCCTTCAGAGATTAAGATGATGTCTAATTAATTTTTACATATCCAACACATAAGGCAATGCTGTTATGGATTAAATTTTCTGTCCCCCAACTCCCACCACCAAATTAACTTATTGAAGCCCTAACCCCCAATGTGGCTGTATTTGGAGACAGGGCCTTTAAAACAGATAATAAGGTTATAAGGGTAGGACCCTAATCCAATAGGTTTAGTACACTTAGAAGAAGAGGAAGACACACCAGATCAGTATCATTCTACACCCCCCACTGCACAAGCACAAAGGAAAGGCCATGTCAGAACACAGTAAGAGGGTGAAACAGAGTCCTCCTCAGAAACCAATCTTGACAGCACCTTGAACTTGGACTTCTGGCTTACAAAACTCTGAGAAAATAAATGTGTTATTTAAGCCATCCAGTCTGAAGTATATTTTTATGACAGCCTAAACTGACCAATACAAATGCTAAGAAAGTATTTTGTCAAATGGAGTGTTATTCAAAACTAGTCTTCAAGGATCCAAAAGTTAGGAAATTGCCTTTAGTTACTAGCAATTTTTTTTAACATCATGTCTTAAAGCTGAAAAAATATGCAGTAATATCTATAAAAACCTGGTCTTGATAGGTTTAAGAAGCAACAGAACATTTTGATATGGCCACCTGGTAATAAGGGACATTCTGACAAGGCTTGTTTAAAGAAGCCATGTCATAATAACCCCATTAGAATGTATAATTCATTTTTTATTAGTAAAATTTTGTGCACAGATAGCACTCTTATTCTATTTCTAATGTCACCCATCCAGAGCTGGTGAGAGTCATCAGATTAGGGCCAAGGTTACTTATTGAAGTAACTTGATAATAAGAACAGGTGAAATAAAGGACCTTTGTCTTTTGGGGCCTTCAACATTGCCTCTGTATCAAAATAGCCAGGCCAAATACCATAACCATGTGTTACTAAGTGCTCCCAAATCTGCTGCAAATCTTATCCATTATATTTTATCAGTGGGAGCAATGTAGAAATTACCATTTTAGGAAAATTATATTATACCTATATTAATTTCACTACAGAAATTTGAAGAAGGATCTAAACTATAGTATACACTATTTATATAAATAGGAAGCTACCTGTTTATCTTTGTAAGAATACAGCTAATCTTATTATCTACACAATAATGAATCCAAATGTTTAGAAGACTTAGAAAATTTCGGCCGGATGTGATGGCTCATGCCTGTAATCTCAGCACTTTGGGAGGCCGAGGCAGGCAGATCACGAGGTCAGAAGATCGAGATCATCCTGGCCAACATGGTGAAACCCGGTCTCTACTAAATTACAAAAAATTAGCCGGGTGTGGTGGCGTGCACCTGTAGTCCCAGCTACCTGGAAGGCTGACACGGGAATCGCTTGAACCTGGGAGGCGGAGGTTGCAGTGAGCCGAGATCGCGCCACTGCACTCCAGCCTGGCGACAGAGCAAGACTCCGTCTCCAAAACAAAACAAAAAAAGACTTAGAAAATTTCCACGGTAAAAAAAAAGTGTTCTATCCTCAATTCTAGTTAGTGCCAAATGTGGAACACTATGGAAGCTAACGAAAGCAAAAGTATTTCAGTTGCATTTAGTGGCTATTCACTACCATAGGCCACTAAATTACAGTTGAGCAGTTAAATAATCTTTCTAAGTTCACATACATAGTAAGTTTTCAAACTGAGAAAAAAAAAACAACTATGTTAATCTCTAATGCACAAGTTCTTTGCACTAACATATGGCCTTGGCAACCAAATGACAAAGGAAGGCAAGTATTCACCACAGCAGTTCATGCTGGAATAAATCTAAGAAGTCTTTAATATAGAGAATCCCATGATAACATGTCAAAAAAAGAAAGAACCAAGTGAAACATTATAGGAAGTCTTTGTCATAAGACTTGATGGGTTATTGTGGCAAAAACAAGGAGAATTATTTTTTAAATAATCATAATTTAATTTCAAAAGGAAAATTAAATTGCCACATTAGGGAAAGAAAACAAGAAAAGAAAACCAATATAAAAATCATAATTCAGTGGAAATAACAGTAGCTGGCCACAAAAAATAGGTGAAAAAAGACACGAAAACTTTCTGTTGCTGTAGTGATGGTGTGGTACACATCTATATCCACAAATAAACTTTTGACATGTAATCTCCAGTTCACTGAGGCAACTCGTTCTTCACAAGAGGATACTTCAGTGCATCTCAGCTGAGTTGCCTTTTCTTCCAGGGAGAAACACATGAACAAACAAAAATTTTGGTCCAATCTATCTTTTCTTTTTAAAAACCTTTCCATATTTGGAAATGGAAAGTCATTACACTGAAATATCTTGTCCTGTATATAAATCCAATATGCCTATCTTTGTATAACATTCAATGACAGTCAAATTTGGTATTTTGTCATGAAAATTATTTTCAAATAAGTAGATGTAAAAAAACCTTTCCTTTAAATGTCTTCCTTCGTCTGAAAGAAAAGGAAGGAGGGAGGGAAAAAGAAATCACTAAGGTACAAACAGAAGCAAGATAAAGAAAAGGAAAAAGACACATTTGCTAGCCCCATCCAGCTGTGCCTTAATAAGCCTTCTTGATGTAAACTTATTTTCCTCAGCCTAGACTGTTTCACTTCAAATGATGAGATAAACTCTGCCAGATTTGGAAAGCTACAACAAATGGCAAAGCAAATGGGAACTGTGCGTTTCTACCCTCTCCTTACCAAGACAAAATTCTCCAAGCCAGGGAGCTATTTAAGTGCCTTCCACAGGATTCCCATAGTGAAGTCTGTATCTACTCAGATCCACAAGTTTAGATTAGGAAATATAGATCTTTTACATATCAAATGTAGACAGTGTAAATTATCTTCAAAAGGCACCCCGCATCCTCCAAATCCATCATGCATAACCGACATCGCTCTGTTATTGGTAACACAATAAATATCTAACACAAGCTTGATTTGTACAAATATTTTAGAAATTCAATGAAGTTCTTTACAGCAACTATGCTGTAACAATAGGCTTCTAAGTGTGATTGAGATTTGGATATAACACTTCTGGAATCTCATTTGGTCGTTAAAATGAGATTCCACTCGTGCTGTCTATAACCAAAAGTATTACATAAATTTAAAGAACTATAAATATACACAACTTACTAGATGTTTTACTTTCCCAGAATAATGTCTAGATCATGGAAAATAAAAGACAAATGGTGCTGATGACTTTCAAAGAATCATAAATATGAAGCAACCACATAAATTTATATTCAAGTTTGTACCAAGCTTTAATCTGAAAACATTCTTTTGAAAAGTTAAATATAGTCTATAAAAACAGCCACAAGACAACGAGGATTTCATCCATTTTTGCTTTTCACAATGGGGGCTATATATTCAGAGTTTTGAATTTTCCAGAATATTTTTGATTGTTTATGAAGACAACATGCCAAGCTTTGGCCTTTTGTTCTCTGTGTTTCTAGCCATTTCTTCAAAGAACCCAAGAAGTAGTAAAGGTTTGGGAGGTCAGCTGGACTAACCACTATCAAACCAAGAATCTCCTTTATAGGGGAGGTTTTTGACTTTTATCTGGACACTACTAGTAGTAGTGGCAAGACAACACTAAAATCTCTCTAAAAACTTCAAGGAAAGCTACCACATTTTAACACCCATATGCTGGTCTTTGATATGACTTCTAAGATAATCAAAAAAAGGATGTGATTTCTCTCTTCTAGAAAAGCGTGGTAAGAGAGGGAAATAATTTGTGGACAAGTCTGTAAGTGCCGTGTACTAACAGGTGATGCACAAGTGTTATCTCACTTACTTCTTAGTAAATTTAGAGTTGAGGTACTAATATAGCTCCACTTTACAAAGGAAAAAACTTAGGCTCAGAGAGTTTAAGAAACTTGTTCAAGATCACAGAACTAGTCAATACACTGGGTTTTAATCCAGGTCTATGTGTCTCAAAAGTCAATGTTTCCCTTCCTAAGTATTTTCTGAGCCAAATTAATTAAATATCCATAGTTCCTCTGTAACTGTTCCTCATACCTCATGGCTCCAAAGGCCCCTCGCCATTTTGTCTGCTGATGT
The DNA here is from genome assembly GCF_000001405.40 of Homo sapiens. Lineage (NCBI taxonomy): Eukaryota > Metazoa > Chordata > Mammalia > Primates > Hominidae > Homo > Homo sapiens. The sequence continues at coordinate 108,876,417 of NC_000011.10, read as the reverse complement.
GGCATAGAGGGAAAAAAGGTTTGAAGTCTGAGGTTTTTCCTGGTACATAACTTATGTACAACTTTAGACGAGTCACTTAAGCTGTCTGACCTTCTGTCTCCTCATTTGATGACAGAAAATAACAAATGTCATATATAACATGGTAAGAGGAAGGTAATCCCAATGGACCTAAAAATGAGTGAAAAAAAGACTATCCTCTAAGAGTCAAATCACAAAAATCAACACCAAATCAGAAATACACAAATAGTTATTAGATTCAACCTATCATGTGATATTACTGTTTTTATCAAGAAATAGTCAATTATCAGTAATGTTTTAAAGATTCGACCTAATATTTCTTAAAGATTCAACCTAATACTTTTCAAAGATTCAACCTAACATTCTCGGAGAACATATAATATTCTCCAAGGTTCTATTTTCTTCACGTGCAAACCTGGAAGAACATCACATGCTCTAGTGTACATAACGACCTTAGTCACTCTAAGTTAGGTTCCCACAGTCTTATAAGCTAGGCATCATCTGTATGAAAACAGTGAAACCCACAGATACTTCCCGGAGTTTCATTATTTGGCCTTTCCAACCTCACTGAGTATCTCCAGTTCCTGCTAGTGCAACGGTAACCACCTCCTTATAAAGGGCAGTAGTAAGAAGCTAATCAACAGGACCGCGAAACGTGAAAGTGCTTCATGAACTGGAAAGCCAACGCAGACCTTAGTTATTATATTAGATGTTAGCTTTAGATTCTTTCTGTGGAAACAAAGATCCTCTCTTTTTCTAACTGCTCTCCTGGACACCTGGTCATTTGTTGTGGATGAACATTAGTACATTACAGGCACTACTCTTCATCTTTGCACTTAACACATCAGCAGCCACAAAAGGCATTCTGATGAGAGCTTAAAGATTCAACAACAAATCTCTTGCTGAGAGACCCTTCTAAGTTTACAACCCCTGAAACTGTTCTTCTATAATGACAGAAAAAAAGGCTACAGGGAGTTCTAAAAATGGGATTAGAAGTACCTGCAATTTTTCACAAGCTTGTGACCCATCAAACCTTCTGGTTCCTACCAGGATCTGCACTTTCAAATCATGACTCATTAAGTTCTCAATAGAGATAAAGAGCTAAGATACAACAAGTCTAATTTAAAAAATACATGTATTAGAACTTTGGAAATGTGTGTGTCAGACAACCAGCTTAGATTGACTAAACGCAGCCAGTCTCTTTTCCTTTAAATCAGAATTAAAATGTCATACACAGTAACGCAGGCTTCATAGAAACTTTATGGTTCTATGGTTTCTTGGGTTAGGGTTTTCTTGAAATAGGCAAAACCTCTTCCTGGCTCCATAATCCCATTTTATTGGTTGTTTAACTTTAGCTGTGGTACCTTTACATGCGTTACTTCATTTAATCCCCCAAACAGTGCTATGAAATAGGTACTATTTTTACCTTCATTATATAAATGGGGAAATTGCTCTAAGGGTTTAAATAACTGGCACAAGAATTCAAACCCAGACATTCTGATTCCAGAGCCTCTTTTTCACCAATAAAGGAACTCAGCTGAAGTAATGCAGCATTTCACTAATTCAAACCCCGTTATTCTGGCATTGACAGTTTAAAAAAAAACAAGTCTGGCTGAAATGAGCTTTTGAGATGTCAAGTAAGGCTGGATTTGTTAGGAGGTTAGAAAGGTTTTAGAGCTACTAAAGAGATACAACTATTCTCAAGGACCTTCAAATATCTCAGAGCACCCACTCTAAAAGCAACTGTCACTTGTAGTCCCAGCATTTTGGGAGACTGAGGTGGGAGGATGGCTTAAGGCCAGAAGTTCAAGAACAGACTGGGCAACAAAGCAATACCTCAACTTAAAAAAAAAAAAATTAATAAAATAAAAATGGTTAAAAAGTAACTGTCATGCTAACGGATAACTCTCTGCTAAATAATATGTTGTTTTCTGCTTCTGATTACTTTCCAATGTAGAGTAATCAACAGAATTATGAGCTTCTGAGTGTCTTGAAAGGCCTTGGGATCTGTTTCACCCAAGCTTCCACTAAGGGGAGAAATCCCTTGCTTCAATGAGAATGGCATCTAAAGTAGAGAGAGTGTGCAGCACACTTCCCTCATGAGGGGGCTCATTCTGTTTCTCAACAGTTCTAATTGTCATGCAATTTTTCCACTAAGCAACTTTTCAAAAAAAATTTATTTTAAGCAACTTTTAATCATCATCACACACGGTATTTTTTTTCCCGTAAGTCCAGTCATCTTTGGTGAACCACTGATTTTACTGCATATCCTGTGGCTGTAAAACACTGCAGAATTATTGTTTTTTCTACTTTTGTGAAAACATAACACAAAGCAATATACCTTCTGACTCACGGCAATCTTGCAGATTAAATAGAATGCATCTTCCCTTAGGTCAAGTAGGTAGCTACTTGGTTAGCGACAACACCTAACAGAAATAGACTCTTTGCAATTATTTGAATGAAACAAGTTCATGTACTGTTTGATCCAATTTAGTCCAATACCTAGAAGAATGAAAGATTAATAGAGTAATTTACTTGGGATTGGTGATTTACAGTCTGTGCTGTAAAAAAACTATAATGACATCTAAACTTTCTCATAAGTAGCTTTGTATTGCAAATAAAACATTTGAGGGATGTTCTGGTTCAAACAAAATGCCTAGACAGTGTACATGTATGTCAGAGGGCCTTAAGTCTGAATTCTCCTTCTTGGACAATCAGTCATTTAACCTCTCTGGGAAGAGGTTTTATGAAAGAAATTTGAGATTCTTTATAAGGAAAAAAGAGAAGATGCAAACCACAAAAGAATTTGTCCAAAAGAAGGTGTTCTCGGAAGGATAAAAGGTTTCTTGCTTGGGACAGGCAGAACAATGTTACAAGACAAAGATAACCACAGATTAGGAGGGGAAAACAATCCTATAATGGCTTACTCATATAATAAAGGGGTTGTTTAGTCATTCAAAAACATCTTTCTCTGAACTATCAGGCATAACACGTCTGTAGATCTAAAGCTGACAGTGAAAAGGAAGAAAGAGAATAGATTGTAACTTTTGTTCCCAAGGGGACAGAGGCAACATACTCATTTTTGATAAATATCATCCTACTTATGGACAAAATGTCAAGTTTTTCTCAAACTTGACCTTCAGACAATTAAGACATCCTTGTCTACCCACCTGGAAAAACAATATACCATGACTCAATTTTTTACTCTAATAAAAGGGCCACTTAGTCCAAATTTAAATACCATATTACCCTAACACAAGATGACAATGCAAAATTTGCTGATCTTGCACTGATTCATGTGACAGTCATACACAATTGTGTGAGCACTCAGGATGATTTAAATATGAATTATGCCCATGATGTTTATTCTATAAACACTCACAGATTTTATTCCAGGCCTCCTCCTGAGCAGTGGCTCCTGATCTCAAGTCACAACACAGCCCATATTTAACGAGGGTAATTCCTAGTTTTCAGAAGTCTTTATAAGATGAGAGCAGAAGAGGTGGGAGGAGTGGGAAAGTGAAAGAATGGAAGGGAAAGAGAATGACCGTGAGAGAAAGGGAAATGGGAGGGGGGGGGAACGGAAATTAGCATCCATATTTTTAAGAAAACATATTTGTATCTGCACCAAAAAACACTGCTATAGAGAAATATTATCAAATATTTTCACAAATTCAAACACAAACACACATCCCACTGGGTGCCACAATTCACTTACAAACTCTTCTAAAAGAAACAAATGATACTAGTGCCAGAAATAATAAAAGTCAGTTGAGAAGCTAGCACACTGAACCAAAATGGACTCCTATTTTTGCTGTTAAAACAAGTTTGTTTTGCAAACCAAAGCTGTCTAAACCTGGGGAGAATATTATCTCAAAGTATCCCTGATTTTGTGGAACTTAAAATACTTTTTATAAACTACACCCGCATCCTTCCACCCCCCTACACAAACTTACATAAGTGCTAATTTCAAGGGAATGAGGGCTGTTTTCTTAAGTATTTTATGCTTGTATCAATTTGCTTTTCTCTGAAATAGCCAAACATAGTAAAGAAAATGCTTGTTTTATAGACAGGAAGATAGAACACAATGATCTTAAAGGATATTCAATGCAAATAACGACTTAATGGAAAATTAATTATGTAAAATTGACTTTGAATACAATTAGTCATCAATCTCTTCTATGTATTTGTGATTTATCTTGATATAATATTGTACCATTGTTTGGTATCCACAGAAACAACTGAGAAGATGAGTTTAAAAACATACAGAACAAAAGTAAGAATCAAGATTACTGCAAGATAGTTAACTCATAAGGCAAATTCAGAATGTCGCAATGAATGTCATTTTTGTAAATTGCTACTAGCAATGCAATCATTTGTTAACTTAAATTTCTTTGTAACTCACTGAAACTCCTTTATACATAAACAAGGTGGAGGCATTCACCCTATCAAAGCTTAATTTTTTTTTTTTGAGGCAGAATTTCGCTCTTGTGGCCCAGGCTGGAGTGCAATGGCATGAACTTGGCTCACCACAACCTCCACCTCCACGGTTCAAGCGATTCTCCTGCCTCAGCCTCCCGAGTATCTGGCATTACAGGCATGTGACACCACTCCCGGCTAGTTTTGTATTTTTAGTAGAGATGGGGTTTCTCCATGTTGGTCAGGCTGGTCTCAGAACCCCCTACCTCAGGTGATACACCCACCTCGGCCTGCCAAAGTGCTGGGATTGAGGCGTGAGCCAACGCGCCCAGCCCAAAGCTCAATTTCTTAAATTCGTGGGACTGGTAAGGAGGAGGATGGAGTTGGGGTGTGGGCAAATGGATGGGTACAAAGGAAGCAGAGCTGAAATTTGTTTTTAATTCTAGAGCAGTGGAAGGAAAAGATATTTCTTTCTTTTCTCACTGCTAGGGTGACCAGTAGAGTATGCTGGAAAGAAAAGGGGATGAATCAAATGCAATGAGGCATTACATTATAATTCAGATTTTTCTACCAGCAGGAGCTTATGTGTTCCAGAGTTCCAAGCCCCCAGCAGAGGGCAGGATGCCCTTTCCCATAGAAGCTGAAGGCATCTTTGAGTTATAATTAAAGTGATCATACCTGGGTTTGCCCAGGACAGTTGTTTTGGTACAATTAGTCACTGCAACCCCTTTCACTCACCTAAGTGTCATGCTTGTATGGTACATGGGCAGCCTAAGTGATAATGGAAATCAACCACAGTATAGAACATCTTTTCTATGGAGAAAAAAAAAATGCTCCAGTTTACATATGAACTTGGACACAAAGTGTATAATTAGAGATTGTCCATGTGTGCTAATATCTATCTGGGTCCAGTAACATTGCTTTCTAGCCCTCCCCCTCTTTATTTTGTTTTACTGTTCTGCCTCTGAAAGGATTCTGAAACATCCCTAGAGTTATTATGCCTTTCAATAAACAATATGCTATAATTCTTCAATTTTGACACTATTTTGGAAGTGTCACAGTGAAAACAAGAAACTGTATTAAAGAGTTACTGCTTCTTTCACTCGATAAATACTCAGTACCTACTGTTTGTTCGTATCGGTCTAGGCACTGGTGATTCAGCAGTGAACAGAACAAAGTCCCTGTTCTGAGTTTCCCATTCTAGTGACAGTAAAAACAAGCAACAACAAACTAGTATGTATTTATATATTGCCTGGTAGAGAGAAGTACTATGGAGAAAAATATATCAAGGTAAGAGAATACAGGATAAGAGGAGGTTGCTATTTTGCATCAGGAAATCAGTGAATGCTTCTCTAGTAAAGTTATGTTTTAGCAGAAATCTGGAGACAGTAAGGAAACAAATCACATAGCTATGTGGTGATACCAAGAGCGAAGGCCAGAATCTGCTTAGTGCATTTGAGGAGTAATTAGACAGTCTAAAGTTAAGAGAGTTAGTGACAGAACAGTGGGAAATAAGACCAGAGAAGGAGCTGGAAGCTAGATCACATGTGAACTTTGTAGCTTTTGTGACAAAGTAGACAGGGAAACTCTTAAAGGATGGGGGTCTGAACAGAATTATAATATGCGACTTACTTTTAAAGGCTCATTCTGGCCACTATAATTCAGAATAAACTGGGGATAGAAGAGTGGGAGGATAAGAGAAAGAAGACTAGCAGACTAGTTAGAAGACTGTTACAATTAGTAATTCATGTTACAGATTATGGTGACTTGGATGATAGGGATAGCAGGAGTGTTAAAAAGTGGTTAAACTCTGGATCTATTTTTAATAAAGTTTTTATTTTTAAATAACTGTAGATTTACAAGAAACTTTCAAAGATAGTACAGAATTCCCATATACCCCTTACGCAGATTTCTCCTATTGTAATTTTATAGTCCATTTCTCCCAACCAAGAAACCAACACTGGTATATTACTATTAACTAAACTCCAGATGTTATATGGACTTCACCAAATTTTCTCATCTACTTTTAAGATAAAGTCAAATAGGATTTACTAATAAATTGTGGTGGAGTATAAGAATGAAAGAAGTGAAGGCTATCTCTAGGGTTTCTCCTGAGCAAGTGAAAGAATGAAGTTCTTCCATTTCAGCCTTCTCCTAATTCATATCCACATTTTACCATAATTTTCTATAATGAAAGTAAAAATCTCTACTGCCAAAATTTCAGTTAAAATCTTAAAAAATGAACACATTGCAGAAAGCATTATTTTGAGTCAGTATCGATATACTGACTCATAAAAGTTTGAACATATCAAACTTTGCTTGTCAAAAAAAAGATTTTGAAGTTTACTTGTAAACATGAATAATCCACAGTCTGCTCAGACTGAAATTTACAGCAAGACTTATGCATTTAATGAATTTTAGAAGGGTAAGAAATTCCCCCAAAATAAAATGTTAATGAAAGCTTATCAATAAAAATGCAGAATAATCTGCATCAAAATGGAAGACTCAGTCACATCTGTAACAATTCACAATTGACAAAAGACCTGCTGACATGTCTTATTTCAAATATGTTTCTGAAGTTCAAATATCAGTATTTTTAGATTTCAACGTTAAACAATGAAAAATGCTTTCTCAATTCAGCTCCTTTCAAAGAGAAGATGAGTGATGAAAACGAGCATAAGCCATGACAGAGCATAATGGCAATCTTATGCCCTGGCCTTGCCAGGTAAATGGGCTGGAATTTTACAAGATAACTAAAACAAACAAACAAACAAAAAAAAAAACAACGGGTTTAAAAATGAAAGAACCAGAGTTTAGAATTGTGTGCATGGCTTTTAATATACAAGTAAATTCATCAAGCCATTATTTGGGTTTTCCTTTAATTCTTCATCTAACTTCTCCCGCTTCCATGTCCATCCTTATCATTATTTCCTGCCCAGACTTTCAAAAAGGAGAGTTTACCTTAGCTTTTTCTCCTACTCACTGTCAAGCAGTCAGGAAAAAAAAAAAAAAAAGCTTAATTCTTAATTGTGGCTAGGGGATTTACCTCTTTAACCCTCAGTTTTTTCATCTGTATAAACTCAATAGAAAGCTCCTCTTACCTTCATCTCAAGGTTATTATGGGTAATGAATTAAATAACATACGTGAAAGTTATTCACAAACTGCTAGGGAGCTCTGATAGGGTATTATTGTCATATTACAGCACTGCCACAAAGACATAGTTATGTTAGCAACCGACACAAATTCAAGGACTTTTGTTGCCCATATCAGAGAACATTGGCATAGGAAAACATTTGGAATATAACCACAACATACCCCTTTAGCTTTGCCTCTCCATAAAATAATCCACTTTCAACTAACATTAGACCAGTGCCATCAAACTCATTAGAGTATCAACTCAGTGTATCATGAAGCCATCAGTGGATTGTGACCATCATTTTATAAAAAGAAAATAGAATGAAATGGAAAATTCTGAGCATGTGGCAAATAATAAGGTAAGTTATCATTTTGTGAAATTTTTCTTTTAATGTTGTATGTACATGTTAGCGGGAAGGGATGGAAAATGTATTTCTTACTCTAAAGTGTAGGCCAAAAAAAAAAAAAGTAGAAATCCCTACACTGAACTCCTCACTCTTCCACAGCCATACCTTCATGGTCTTCAATCATCCAGCCATACTGATAATGTTCCTTGCACCCAGAATGCCCTTCTACCTAAACTTTGAGTCTCCTTTCCTCATCTGAAAAATGGAGATAACACAAACAGTATTTCACAATGCTGCTATGAAAGTCCTTTGTTATTAGGTATTAAATGACATGAGGCCCCCCAAAATTTTTTTCTGCCCCTTCTTCCTAACTGCAAACCTCTATGACAAGGTAAAGAAATATAGTCAGTAGTCTTAAGAACTGCAGGCAAAAGAAAAATGAACCTGGTTCAGTATATGCAAAGCTACAATATCTAGAAAACTAGGAGTTTCCTCAAGCTACCATTCAAATGAAAGAGATCTTTAAGTCAGACCATATATGGAGGGCTGCCTGAAGACAGATTATAAGTTATTATTTCCTTGATGTCTGAGGAAAAGCATTATAACTATCAGTGTTATAATAAAGTAGTGCCCTCTGGGTCCAGAGAGATTTCTGGGGGCTCTGTGCCCCTGCCACTGTGTTTTAAAGTCATGATATCTGTTTTGTTAATAATTTTCCTATACATTTTCCTTGCTGTCCATTATCATGTTTCATCACTTTCTGATAAGGGACTGGCCTTTAACAGACTACATGTTCTAATTTGCTATTTATCTTCCGCAGTGTTATAACTCACAAAACCATGTTAGTTAGGAATGACTAAAATGAAAATTAGTGTGTATGGGTGTGGGCCTTGCTCAGAGGCAGAATGAATGTACTCCATACACACAGGTGTCATGACTTCTATGTTGACTGACAGAAGCATTTTGTTCACTTCCAGGTTCTTGACTATGGTAGCTAATTTTCAAAACAGTGTGGTATTTTATCATGGATGAGACTAGATCTCAATTTTAAAAATTATTGGCCTAAATTGAACAACCAACATTTCCCAAGGTAGAGTGTCAAATGAAGCTCTGGCTTACTCTTCAAAGTTCAAACTTTCTACTCAAACTACTAAATAAATGCATATGCAAAAATACTTAAACATGAGCTGGGTACATAAGCACACATTCCTACTTCTCTCAACTCTTCAGTGACTACTGCTTACTATATATAGCTCAAACTACTTATTATAATTATTAATATTCAAAACCCTCTATTTTAACTTGTACTGCTCCACTTTAAGAATCTCTACTTTCCAGGTAAAATTCTGCTGGTAATAACCTGTGACTTAATGTTTCCTTTTGTTTGATGTCAACCTAGCACATTTGACCCCACTTATTGTTATTATAATATTTCCACGGTTCATTATTATGAAAGAACTTTCACAAACACTCATCTTGATTGATGCTTCAGGGCCTGACTCAAATGCCCTCCCCGGGATGCTTTCTTTTGTGAATCCTACAAGTCAAAAATAATCTCTCCAACTTCTGAACTGTTCTTTATACCAGTCATAAGTGGTGCTTCTATAATTATGTCCATTATTTTATCTTTTACTGACCTGCCTTACAGAACAGAAGCTAAATGTTAAGATTTTGGAGTCACTTACTAAATGTCAGTCCTTGAGTACATTTAATTTACTTAAGCCCCAGGTCCCTCATCTGTCAAAATGTATTGATAATACCTACATGTGAGGACTAAATGACATGCCTTAGCACAGTATATGGTATGCAATAGTTCAATACTGGCAGCTATTAAAAATTGTCCTCTATTACAGATCTTAGTTCTTCCTAAAGTAGTCAGCACATGATATATGCCAAGTTTTGGAAACCTTAGGGTGATCTTTGGCTCATCTCTCCTAATATCTCCATGTTCCATTCAGTTACTGGTATCTTACAGGTATACTTCTTGAATAAAATGCCCTTTTCACCTATCCACAGTCCTGCCCAGGACTTAATATCTCAACTACTGAAATGGTCTCCAAAGTGACCTTCCAAGCTGCTCCAGCCCGCCCCATTAAACCACACAGTGCAAACAAAATTGATCCTATTAACATAAAAATAATACTCTCATTGCCGAATCCTCTCAACCTACTTCATCTCCTTGTGGCATTTGGCACTCCTGTCCAAGTCCTCCTTTAAATTCCCTTTTCATACTTCCCTGAAAAATATACCAGTTTTCCTAGCTGCTTTTCATCTGCCTGTTCCTTAACTGTTGCTGTTCCCCAGGATTTGTGACCTGGCTCTTTCTCTCATTCACTCTCCAGAGTCCAACTACCAAAATGGAATTCTGAATCCACTACACACAAGCAGGTATGCAACCTTCTATACTAAAATTTCTTCTTCTGTTAAATGGGAATAACATTATTACCTACAACTTCAAGAGCTGAAGTTTGTACACTTAAAATACATTACTTAAACTCCCCATGGAATTAGCACTTAGAATACTACCCGACACATGGAAAATACCAAATAGACATTTTATTATTTTTTTTCTTTGGATTCAATCATTACATATGTAGACAACTCCCAAAACTTCTCTATCATGGTATTAATTATATTGCACTACTTACAAATTTCCTCCACTAGACTGTGGGTTCCTTAGAGCAGGTTAATTCTATCATGGCATTATGAGGGGTAACACATAGTAGGGCACTCAAGAAATATGCGTAGAGTAAACAAATGAATCCTTCTAGGATCATCCTACCACTTATGCTTCATTCCCCCTCAAAATCTCGCTGCATCCCCCACACTCTCCTGAGTCAGCCCAAATCTTCAACTTGGTATTCGAGATCCTCTATGATTCACCAATTTCTCCAGCTCCTGTTATTCTTCTTGTGTGCCAGTAAAAAAAACCTGATAAGACCCTCCCAAATCTGACGCCTTCCAAAAGCCCCAAGGAGGCCAGTCAAATCCTTTCTACCGAAATGGTTAGTCTCCTGCTGTATTTCAACCACTGGCAAACATACTATACAGAATAAGTGACACACCTCAAAAATATTACATGGGAAGGTTAGAAAGCATATAAAAATGACAGATAATAGTTCATCGGCTCCTGAAAAACAGAAATCAGAATTGTAGAGCTAAAAGAGGCCCCACAGGATATATAGTCCTGGACACTTCAAGCAGCATAGTTAAGATATTTGCTCAAGGCCACACAGTGATCTACTGCTATCACCAGGATGAGAAATCAGGGTCCCAGGCTGTCGGACCCTCTAAGTCAGCAATGGTTCCACCTAACACACCAGGGCCACTCTCTCCCAGTGTGATCACTCGAAGCACTCTCTCCTTCCTCCAACACTGAGCTGAACACACAACAGGATTTACAGGTATACCCGTCAAGGAGAAACCAAATCCTGCTGCTCCTTGTGTTTTACAAGGCTCTTGGCAACATACCTCTCATATTCTGATGCCCTTATATCCCAGCATTGGTTTTAGATGGTGTTGAAAAGGGGTCAGGCTAAGAACAACAGGTGACAGACTGACTGCAATCAGGCACACTGAAAGACAACTAGAGTTTGGGCATGCTGAGTTTGTAACTAATTTAAGAGACTGGGCTTACATTTACCCTCATATCTTCTAGTATACATTCTGCCATGGGGGTGTAGCCAAACCAAAAGTGGAAAAGGCCTAGCACCTCAGGGTTGTAAGAAGTATAAAAGTTGCCAGGCACGGTGGCTCACACCTGTAATCCCAGTACTTTGGAAGGCTGAGGTGAGAGGATCACGTGAGTCCAGGAGTTCGAGACCAGCCTGGGCAACACAGGAAGACCTCATCTCTACAAAAAAATAAACAAAATTATCCAGGTGTGGTTCCAGCTACTCAGGAGGCTGAGGCAGGAGAATCGCTTGAGGACTGGGAAGTCAAGGCTGCAGTGAGCCAAGATCACGCCACTGTACTCCAGCCTGGGCAACAGAGTAAGACCCTGTCACCAAAAAAGTATAGAAGTTTATTCTACATATTCTATACATATAAAGTTTATTCTATCTATTCTATATATATAAAGTTTATTCTATATATGGATATAGACCACTGGTTCTTAATGGGGCAGTAGTAGTATCATAATTATACATATATACTGCATGAACACATGTAAGTAAGTCCCCTACCCCAATGATTCTGATGGGAGAAGGGTAAGGATGGAGGAAGCTAGATATGGGCATTTTGAGACATCTTTCAGTGATTTCCAGCCGCGATTGAACCACTGGTTAAATCCTAAGTATCTGAGAACGAACCTGCCTAAAAAGGCAACGTATACTAATGCTAATTAATCATGGCTCACATTTTTTAATGTGATTCATAGTTCACAAAGCCCTAACACATGTATTATCTTCACAAGAACCCTGGAAGGTTGGCAATGCAGGCAACACCACTACTGTTATTCTAAAGAGGAAACTGAGGCTCGGAGGAAACATGACTGCCTTGGATTCCAAAGCTTACTGGCAAGAACTGAATTTGGACCTCGTATTTTTCAAATCTAATGCTCTTTTAGGAGAGCTCTAACAACCTGGCAGTAAATGATAAAGGCTGAATGAACTGAAGCCCAAAATCTGATCTAGCATTACTGATGAACTCACAATATGGACTTACAGACCCATCCACTCTCATTTTTCTCTTTTGCTTAGAGAGGACAATATTTTTTTTCTTCTCTCACTTTCTGTTCTCCTCAAAGTACCAACCACAAAAACATCATGTACTAGCTCTACTGAGTGGGGCAAAAATCTTAGGGTTGGATGGATGCCAGGAGGCTGGGATCAATAGCAGTTGTGTTTAGAATTCAGACATGCACAACTCATGTTAAAAGCAATTAAATGAGGCTGAAGCCTTCCGATAATATACTTTCCAAAGAAAGCTGTGCTAATATAAATAAATGGATGAGCTTGAGAATATATATCATTTCCAACTGAAGGAAATGAGATAATTTTATGAAATAAAAATCAAATGTATCTGTAGTAAGGGGGAAAACTAATGTACATAGCTGAAAATCAAGATAGGTAAAATAAAACAACTGCACTTAATTCTAACAGTAATCATCTCATAATCCAAAGAAGATAAATGATAGAATTCTTGATAAAAGAACTTTTAGATCACGTATATACCATTTCTGCAGCATTTTCCAAGTTTAACATTTTATCTGGAATCATAAAAGATTTATTTCCTCAAGTAAAGATAAAAATGAGGCTACATTAACAAAAAGTGCCTACTTCCCCCTTAATAAGATCGTAAACTCTTAGTACTGGACCAGACACAGTCCAGGTACGTTACAGAGGCTAAGTACCTTTAGACTGTAGATGGTGAAAGGAAATAAATAAATATTTAATTCACATAAGATGCGCATGGAAAAATAAATAAATAACCAGAATCTATGGTAAGAATGAGGTAAGTCAAATGAATATGCCTCCTCATGGGAAGATAGTCACTTCTTTATTAGATGATCTTTCAAGCTTTGTATGTTTCTGAATTTCTATGGTCAGTTACTATTCATCTATTTCAATTTATAAAGTTACAGTAGTCACATATAATGATCACTCAGACCAATGTCCCTTTCATCACCCTTGTGTTCCTTTATTCTAAATAAATGCCAATTCAATAGCTCTTAGTGTCCTATCAGATAGCATGAAGAGTAGAGATCTCCACAACATTCCAAGGCCACCAAACCACCTCATAAGTTTATAGTAGAAACTAAAACTCACTGGGGTGGGGAGGAGGTTAAATGTCTCTGAACAGCAGAATGACGACTACGCTCCTCCTTATTTAAAAAATACAATTTCTTCATTTTAATTTACACCAGAGTCAAAATAAAGCTCATTTTCTCATTTAGAGGAAATTGTTTTGTAAGTTTTAGGAGGTAAAACATCACACTTCTTGGAACAAGGGGATTTTAAAAGAAATGTGTATTTGAATAACATAAATTATTAATTGTCTTTCATAGCTTTCATAAAATATGAATGACTCCAGGGACTAAGGCTCCTAATGCTTCTAGAATTACAAGAGTTATCCATAATATCTTTTATTTCTGAATCTACAGATTAAAATATCTAGGCTGAAAGCATATAAAGAGATCTCGTCTACCCGCATCATTTTTTAAAAGTAATCTTTGGCCAGGCTCATTGTCTCATGCCTGTAATCCCAGCACATTGGGAGGCTGAGGCGGGAGGATCACTTGGTGCCAGAAGTTCATGACCAGCCTAGTCAACATAGAGAGATCCTGTTTCTATCAAAAATAAAAATAGAAAATTAGCCAGATTTGGTGGTACATTCTCGTAGTCCTCGCTACTCAGGAGGCTAAGGCGGGAGGACTGCTTGAGCTCAGGCGGTCAAGGTTACAGTGAGCTATGATAGTGCCACTACACCACAACCTGGGCAACAGAGTGAGACCTTGTTGATTAGATTGATGAAAGGGAGAGAGAGAGAGATTTTTTGGCTGGAGTGCGGTGGTGCAATCTTTGCTCACTGCAACCTCCGCCTCCCGAGTTCAAGCAATTCTCCTGCCTCAGCCTTCCCAAGTAGCTGGGACTACAGGCATGCACCGCAATGCCCAGCTAATTTCTTTTGTATTTTTTAGTAGAGACAGGGTTTAACCATGTTGCCCAGGCTGGTCTCAAACTCCTGAGCTTTAATTGAAGTATGGCATACCTCCAAAAAACTGCACAAACCATAGGCTTATAGCTTGATGAGTTTTCACAAAGTAAATACACCCCATGTAACTACCACCCAGTTTAAGAAATTAGAACACTCTCAAGTTCTCCAGGAGCCCCCTTCACACTCCTTCCCAGTAATGACTCCCTTTTTTCCTCAAAGGTAAACTCTAACCGAAAATATTAGTTTTGCTTTTACAAAAAAACCTTTATGTAAATAGAGTATCATAGTATTTACTCTTCTGTCTGGCATCTTTTGCTCAATATCATGTTTTCAAAATTTGCCCATTATTGGATGTAGCAGTAATTCCTTCATATATAACATTTCATCATATGACTATGCCACAATTTATCTACCCTACAATTCAGGTTATTTCTAGTCTCTGACAGTGATACTTAGTGCTGCTGTGAGAAACACACTCACCCGTCCAAACGCCAAGAATGGACTTAGAGGTGCAAAGAACAGCAAATGTGAGACTTTAATAATGGTCTTGCAAGATCAGGTGTCTGGTAGGCAGGCACGTCCAGGGCAGTCACAACAGGTAATTTATCTGGGCAGGAAGCATCCAGCAAGGGAGAGAGATGTAGCCTGGGAGGCTAGGCCAGTCTCTCCTTTACACATTTTTCTGCCTGCTTTATATTCGCTGGCAGCTGATTAGATTGCGCCTACTAGATTAAGGGTGAATTTGCCTTCCCTAGCCCACTGACTCAAATGTTAATCTCTCTTGGTAACACCCTCACAGACACACCCAGGATCAATACTTTGTATCCTTCAATCCAATCAAGTTGACACTCAGTAGTATCAACTAGCACAGTAGGAAACTTACGTCTGTTCTTTTTCTGTGTTCCATCTCTGTTATTTCCTTTTCCCACTGGCTTTTTTTCTCCTTTAAGATATGGAGGAAATGGAGCCTTCCCTTCCTTTTAAGAAATAGTGGCGGCCGGGCACAGTGGCTGATGCCTGCAATCCCAGTACTTTGATAGGCCAAGGTGGGCAGATCACTTGAGGTCAGGAGTTTAAGACCACCCTGGCCAACATTGCAAAACTCTGTCTCTACTAAAAATAGAAAAATTAGCTGGGCAAGGTGGCGTGTGCCTGTAGTCCCAGCTACTTGGGAGGGTAAGGCACAAGAATCACTTCAGTCTGGGAGGCGGAGGTTGCAGTAAGCTGAGGTCGCACCACTGCACTCCAGCCTGGGTGATGAAGTGAGACTGTCTCACAAAAAAAAGAAAAAAGAAAAAAAAAATAGTGGCTTCCTCCTCCCCATCTTCCTCCTCTTTTCTTCCTCCCTACGACTGACTGTCTTCAATTTTGACTAAGTGTTAGGAGTATGGCTGTTTCTGCTTACATACCATATGGCAGTGTTCTCAATCTTTTTCAGTATAGGAAGACGTTTAACATCAAACTATTTACAAGATGATAATTCTACAGTGGTATATGTCATTTAAGAAAATACAAGACAAAAAAGTACTCTGAATTTAGCAAAACAAATAAGTTCATATTTTGTTAATCTTAATATAGCCTTTACATACTTTTAAGCTATGATAATATATATGTATGGTATAGATAACTTATTCACTGTATAGTCAATGCTGAGAATTTTAGAATTTCCTAGTAATAACATGGAAAACCCACACAGATTCTTGTACCATAGGCTGAGAATTACTAAAATCAAGTCTTATAATAGTTCTCTAGCCCTGCCTCTTTTTCTTCACATAAGCAACAGGATTCTGAGTTATGAAACAAAACAAGAAGAAGAAGAAAGGAGGAAAGAATCTACATGTTTTTTTCAACTTAGAGACTTTTGTATACTATATCAGAAATTATGATGGTATAATCTTACAACAGCCAGTAATGACTACTAACAGTCAAAAGAATAACCATCATTTAGACCATTAATGAATGCTAATACATACAAAAATATAGGCAAATGATCCTAAGTATCAGTCTCCACAATCACGATGGTCACATCCACACATACCCACAGGCACAGTTCTCTACAAAGTAGAGCATGTAACCACTGGAATAACACAGACTCAGCCACATAATGAAACTGACCACAATGATTCAAATACAGTTAATTTGTTCTGCTAGATGTGCCTATAAATCCCTAACTCAAGCATATAAATGTCAAATTATCTCTAACTTCACCTAAGCTGAATCAACCATGATGAAGTATAAAGGGCATCACCTGGATTTATTTACTGTTTAGGCTGTTTCATTGGAAAGGATCTAAATGACCACCCAACTGAACAGACTATCAGACCACTTAATAATACAACTATTTTCTACAACATAAACAAAGGGATATGTACACACACAGCCCTTTTTTTTTACACCTTACTCAAATTTATTAGGAATCTGTTTTCCTCAAGTTTTATCTGGTTAGTACATTTTGCAAGTTTAATAAAAGAAACAGTATTCTGACTCTAACACCAAACATTAATTCTCTAAGAAGTATTAGAATAAACACATTCTGACATAGTCATTAAAATTCTGCCTTAAATTAATCTGGTCTAATACTCCAAGTGTAAAAGGTTTGACTTGTTTCCTGAAAAATTTCCTCTTATTCTCAGAGTTAATGGCTGCCCTGAACAGGTTTAAGATCATCCTTAACACCCACTGCAGAGTCATCAGTGGTCAGAGTCAAGGAGTGCAATCCGACCTGGATCTGAGTGCTAGCTCTCCTACAATCTAACCACATTTGAATAAGGTCACAATTATTCAGGCTACTCACGTTCAATGGCATCAAATGCAACATTCACCATGATACTGCCAATGAAGACATTTTAGCAGGATCCACTTTTTTGGTCAATCAACAAATATTTATGAGCAAGGAACTGCATCACAGAATGAAGTCACAACTTCCATGGGCATTCAGTTCCAAAGCTGACAGGCAAGGTGAAAATCAACATATCAAATTACCCTAGAGTATCCCTTTTACCACCCATACAGTACCATACACTCAAGTTTTCCATATGCAACTTGAGGAGCTCGAAGTTAGATAAAAAGAAGGAAGAAAGGCAAAATCAATATGCACATCTTAGGACAACTCATCCTTTAAGAATTTATTAAATTCTTCGCAAATAAGGCATGCGTGAAGGATTCTAATGGGATTCTGATTGCCTACAGAGTTTACTACATTGTTTTAATATTAAGAATCTATCATCTTAATACAAATTCACGGATTTGTTTAACACAAGATGGGGTAGAAGGGAAGTAGGAACTTGGAAAGGGCTGAGTGTGTTAGATACATCCAGTCTGGCAGAATGGAAATTCACTGTATTCTGCAGGCCCCGGTGCTAGACCTCAAGGATCTTATAACTGACATAGCATTAACATGTAAAGTGTTAACTTTAAGAATGAATATAGTTGCATTTCACTGATTCAAATATCTACAGAGCATTTATTATGTGCCATCCATGAAAAAAACTCAGCTGCTGCTCTCAAGGAGTTTATAGTCTAGTGATGAGAGACAATCACCAAGTAACACGGCAGAATAATGTACACGAAGTCCGGTGGTCCAGAAAGGAAGAACGTCATGAGTCGGCCTGAAGGAGGCAGAAAAGGCTTCAAAACGGAAACAGTTCAGAGGAAAAAGCAATGAAGGAGAAGATATCCTAGGCAGAGGGAAAACATGTATAAAATTTAAAAATCAAGAAGATATGAGAATATGGTATGTTTAACAGGTCTTCCTGGGCTGGAAATAATGGTAAATGTTTCCTAATTTTTCATTTGTAAGAAAAAATTAAGCTGCTGGGATTCCAGTGAGATTTTATAGTAACTAATAGGAGATGCACAATATTCTGTATCCGCCTATGGTTCTGTTCTGCTTCTTAATATTCTGTTTCTCAATGCAGCCACCTATAAAAGAGAACTAATTGTGGATAAGGAAAGCAATTTCAGGAGAAGAAATATTTACTTGCAACTTCTGCTTCAGTTTTTAAGACTCTCAAATTGAATATTCTTGACTACCTCGGAAATGACCTATGGCCTAATGCTTAAGAGTCAACGCTTCAGCGTCATATAAAGCAGATTTGCATCCTGGCTCTGCCATTTCCTAGCTGTATGTTATTGGGAAAGTTACTTCAACTTCCTAAGCTTCAATTTCCTTGTCTACAAAATAAGAAATCATAATATGAGTGACCTCAGCACTGTTTGCGAGGAGATGGCCAACTGTGAGCCAGAAAGCCTGCCCTCAGCCAACAAAGCACTGTGATGAGAGATAGGCACACAAAGGAAAACAAGAGCCAGAGCCAAAGAGAGAGAGAAGTGCAACCACATCAGCACTGTAATTATTGGCGGTGCTCTAGACAGGGGACCACGGGAGTAGTTCCAAAAGCAGGAGCCCATAATATGTGAGAGAGTCAGAAAAATCTTCATGAAAGGGGTAACCTTTTACACATGCTGAGAACAGGCCCAGAAAGATAAATGGCTTGTCCCCAGCCACCCAGAAACTTTAAGACATAGCCTGCCTTCTAGATCTCAGCCCAGAGTTCTTTCCTTACTAAAGGTATTTGCTATTAGTAATTTTCCATGACTAGTCGTTAGATCATGTATCATGGATGCGATTTGTTTTTACATAGAAAAAGAAAAAAAAGCAACATACAGAAAGGGCATAGGACAATAAACAATAACAGGGAATGAAGATTCAGGAAACCTGGGGGCATATACCAGTTCTGCCACCAAAGAAGCTATGACATTAGGCAAGTCATTCACTTGCTTTCAGCCCTAACTTATTTGGGTACTTTAAAAGTATTAGCTATGTAGCTATGTATGTATACATTTAAGGAAAACAATATTTCAAATAAAATATTCCCTGGAAGTTCAAAATGTAAAGAGGAAAATAAAGTTGAGCTGGTCTGGATGAGGACTAAATGGAACCCTAGAGCCTTGCCCAAATAATATTCTCACGCGGGGGTGGTGGGGGGTGGAGAGGAGAGTCCATAGGTCACTCAATATAATACTGAAAACCATTGGAGTAGATCAGTGGCTGCCACACTCGCTCTTCAATTTCATGGATCAGAAAAAGCTCAAAAAAGATTTTAAAGTGGTGAAATGGGTTTTTACTTTGTCAAATAATAAGACTTTTTAAAAAATTATCAGTATTATTTCATAAATGAAAGGATATTTTAGCACCAAAAAAGTAGGAAGAACAAAATATCAAATGAATAAAGTTAGCTTTGCTTTATGAAACTACTGTTGAGTCAGAGAAAAAGTCATTGAAGACCAGTAGATTAAAAAGTCAGTCCAGGGCATCTCTCAAGTCCATTAGTTTTTTAAGGTTTTTTTTTTGTTTTGTTTTTTGTTTTTTGTTTTTTTTGGTGGTTTTTTTTGTTTGTTTGTTTTGTTTGAGACAGAGTCTCGCTCTGTCACCCAGGCTGGACTGCAGTGGCGTAATCTCGGCTCACTGCAGCCTCCACCTCCCAGGTTAAAGTGATTCTTCTGCCTCACCCTCCCGAGTATGCTGGGATTATAGACGGGTACCACCATGCCTGGCTAATTTCTGTATTTTTAGTAGAGACAGGGTTTTGCCATGTTGGCCAGGCTGGTCTTGAACCCCTCACCGCAGGTGATCCACCCATCTCGGCCTCCCAAAGTGCTGGGATTACACGCATGAGCCACCATGCCCGGCCTAGAGTTTTAAAATTAATTAACTACTACTTCTTCAGACCTCCTATTCTGAGAGCTCTAACTTCAACACTACTTTTCTGTTGTACAGAGATTACCTTAGGTATTCAAGAAACTATTACCTAAAACCACTATTTGTTAAGTATAAATAAAAACACAGTACAAACCAAAAAATAAAAACAAGTGAAAATGTACATCTATAAAACTTCAACCTCAAAATGTATGACATATTTTCCCCACACCTTAAAAATACGAACTATAATCATCATTTTTAATATAGTCAAAGCAACTTTTAACTATTTTAAGTGTTTGAGCTCTTTCCTACTCTTTGTTCCTTCATAGTCAGTGTTCAATTTCATCAGCCTCAGACTTTTGTTTAATAAATCATACTTTTGGCCAGTTGCAGTGGCTCACATCCATAATCCCAGCACTTTGGGAGGCCGAGGAGGGTGGATCACGGGGTCAGGAGATCAAGACCATCCTGGCTAATGCAGTGAAACTCTGTCTCTACTAAAAATACAAAAAATTAGCTGGGCGTGGTGGCACATGCGTGTAGTCCCAGCTACTCGGGAGGCTGAGGCAGGAGAATCGCTTGAACCTGGGAGGCGGAGGTTGCAGTGGGCCAAGATCGCGTCACTGCACTCCAGCCTCGGTGACAGAGCGAGACTCCATCTTAAAAAATAAATAAATAAATAAAAATCACACTTTCTTTTCAAAAGCAGCACAGTAGTGAGATATTGCTGAGGATCTATTTCCTCAAGTTTCAGCACTGTTGTTCCTTTTCCTTACATTTATACAAAATCATTCCAGCGACCAGGGATTCCTACTAGCACTTGTGACCCTCAAAGCAAAAGGAAATTTAGCTAGATAATGAGGTAAAGCTGTATTCCAGGATTATGTAACCTACCTGAACTCAAAAAGCAATGTGGTCTATTGATCATTGCTACAAGTATTTTTCTAGATCTTAGTTTAAAATCTGTAGGTCATAAGAATATACGACATCTTGTTAGCTAAAGTAAAAACAATTCTATTGTGCAATTCAAGTACTTCTCTGCTAAAGAAAGTTTTGATACCCAAAAGACCTATATTTCCCAAACCACTATTAGGTACCCAGCAAACCTTCGTAACAGTTTCAGCTTCGTATTTATCTTCCATTCCCAATTCTGCACATAATATAACTAGGCAGAACTTAGATCTATCTTTTAACAAAAAGTCATATCAGATTCCTGAGAGGTCCATTCCAACTTTAGTTTATCCTACTCACACTTTAAAGCAATTTTTCTTAGAAGTACTTTCAATATGCCAGAGAAGATTCATTTCTAAAATTGAAAATTCACATTATCATTAAGTTTTCTCTTTTCTGGGAAATAAAGATAATTCCATGAAACTTCATTCAAGCACTTTCCCCAAAATTAAAAAAAAAATACTGTGTCCTTTATATCCTTCCTTGTATAATAAAATGATGTTTGCTGCATGAAACACAAAACAAGGTAGAAAGACAGCTACGTGAGTCCTCCCTTTCTTACACTTTCAGTTTCTATGCAGTGATTGCTTAAAATAGCTATAAACAGCTATGACTACATTTCCTGGTAAATTAAGTCTGCAAGTACCACCTTCTTTGACCATTAAAATATCTTCTGGATAGCTTGTAGGTTCAGGGATCAAAGGGAAGCTCTACCTGGAATCTGACTAAAGTGATTCAGAAGGCAATATCCTAAGTAACACAATGATTAGGTTTACATAAGAGGATCAACGAGAAGACAAAGTTTACTCAAAAACTAAGTCACATCTGTCATTTAAAGCACATGCACTGAGAGAAACCTGATAATTTACATAATATTTCTCCTTACATATCACAGAAATTTGTGCCATCACCCCTTTACCAAGTGTTTCCAAATAATCTCTTCTGGGTCTGCTTCCAAAAGGTACCTCAAAAGCCATGAGAGCCTTCAACCCCTGTCACTTTCATTTGAAAGGAAGTTGGGTGCAAAAGGTTGGTTTGAGCTCATTCCTTGGGCTCTGTCAGTCAGCCTGAACCTGTCACTGCAGGCAGTCCTCAGTGTCTTGAGGAATGTTTGAGTCCTGGCTGCAGACCAGCCACTGATCCCTCTGGTAATATCACTCTTACAAAAGGGCTACCATCTCTGAGCACTCAGAAAAGGGCTGTGAAATGGAGGTAGCTAAACTATTCAGAGCAATAATAAAACACAGCCTCTGTCTATTTAAAGCTCCTGGCTGAGCTGCAAAGCCATGTCAGCTCTTCTTTCTGTTCTTAGTCCGATGCTTAGTGGTTACATAGAAATGAGACCTTCCCTTGACAAGAAAAATCTTCCTCCTTTTTTAGATGTCAGGAAACAAACACACAGGACAAACACAGAAGGGGAGTGGGAAATGGAAGGAAGAGTTTGGCATAAGGAGTTCACTTCAGAGATCAACCCCCAGTGAAAATGCCTGATTGTGACAACTTTATCATTTTTTCATTTCCCCAGCAGACACAGTATTAAAACCAAATATACACACCAATTTATGGGGGAATAAAAGAAGAGGTTTCCAGGAGGATAGCTCAAGGGTGATAGCAACTTCTTACAGCTTAAACCATTATGAAAAAAAAAAATCGAGCATACACCATCAATAAGTATAAAAAATAAACCATATTTAGTAATATATATACAAATATGCATGAATAAACACAAAGGAAATACAGTAACAGGGCTTTCTTTGGCTCTAGATTATATCTTTCATTTTACATTTATATATGCAGAAATGAGAGCTTCTTAGTGAAATAAAATGGGCTTATTTTATGCTGAACATGCAATATTCATAAATATCAAATGCTTTTATTAGATTTAAGATTTTCTTGTTAAATTTAAATCTTTCCCACTACAGCCTCTGAGATCTAGTGGTGGTTCTGCCATGGTGTTTCACGCCTGCACGTTAAAGCATATGCAGAAGCCTCCACCTTATTTAGCAGTCAGGCTGCACACACTGGAGCTCTCGTTTTTGGGCACCTTTGAAGACAGAGTGATATTTAATACTGCTTATATTTAATATAAGCAGTCTTTTCTGCTTATATTCAGTATTAAATAATTGCTTCCCACTTCAGAACTATAGCATGAGTTATCATCTCTGACTTGCTCTCTTAAGTGCTATGGCCAGCATGGAAAAAAAATGACGAAGAATATTATAGGCTTCCTCAAGGGAGTTGGAGCTTTGCTAACTGCCAAGAAGAAATCATGGCTAGTCAGAAACAGCACAATGAGATACAGCATGAGAAATGACATATGTTATTGGGCCCTAGTTCTAGGAAATCATTTCTACTAAATGTTCTCAGAATGCAGAAGCTGAACACTTCTCAGTGACAAACACATTAGATAAAAATCATGGCTGCACATGGACAGTGTTTATAATTGTACATACATACTTGAGGAAAACTGTACATATGTATTTGCTGAAAAGTATCTGTTACAGAATATAGTAAAAGTGGGAGATACAGAATGCTTTTCTCCTAGATTCTAAGAGCTGAACTGATGCTTTCAGAGTTACCTGTTATGAGGTTGGGTTCACACAGGCTGTCTACCTGAAGATGATACAGATGAAAATCCTATCAGGCCTGGCCCACAGAGTCAACTGCCTTTTGTATTTAATAGATGCAAAATATATGGAAAAAAGTGGTGGAGTAAATGGGGCCAAGCCCAGTAACAAATTATCTTAGGGATTTTTCGTCCTGCACCAGAGGAATACAAGAAAGTGAATAGAAGGCCACATGGGCTTGAATCCAATTGGAATATCATGATATACAAATAATATATAAAATCCATGTTGAAAAGAAGAGGATTTAAATTCCATTTTAACATTATAAGCATTGTTCTTGCCAAAATATAAAATGCTTTTGTCCATTCTACCTTAATAGAGCTTGGAAAAATAAATGTATATAAACCCTTACCTTTGCTTGTCTCTTGTTGGCTTCTCTTCTGGCTTCCCTTTCTTTCAGTCTTTTCTCCTGGAGACAAGGAAGAGGAGAAAAATTAGCAGCATATAATTAGGTATAAAACAGACTACACATTCATTACAGTTTTATTTCCTAAAGCTAACTAATATATGACATTCATTTTTCAACAAATATTTACTGACTACTACTATGGGATTGGCACAAGTATTCATGAATCATTAAGAATGTGTCAGACAGATCTGGAATCAAATCCCAGTTCTATATCACTTACTCTGGCTATGCAATGGTTAGTACTGACTTTCAAATAAAACACACACTAACAGGACAGGTAAAACATAATGTACAATTATACAAGAGACACATTCTAGAGATTACTTGGAATTTCTAGAAACAAGTTCAATGGAAGGAAATGGAAAGGAGAAAAAAGAAAAACTCAGAAAGCTTTTGGCTTGCTTATTATCAAAGAGCTTCTTTAGAAAATGACTGATCTCAAACCCGGGTCTTCATGTGCCAAATCTAGTGCTTTTTGCGATACATTCTAATAAAAATAAAAATGTTAACATTCAGGGGTTAAACATTAACAGATGTGACTTTAAAAACAGAAGAAAATAATAACTAGTATTATTTTAGCAAGCAGCCAATTAATGCAATAGTGATTATCAAACTTTATCCCTGAATTGGTTCTCTAATGAGATTATAAGAGACGTTCTGCCACGAAATTAAAATAATCTCAATGCTTCCCCAACTTTTGGGGAAAAATAAGTTAATGGATGGCAGTTTCTAAACAATCTGTGCCTAAATTAAGTTGGCACCAATTACTGATTTTGAGGATTAGCAGACTACAAAATATATGAAAGAAGCAAAACAAGATTAAAGAAAAAATATGATATAACTGATCATAACTAACACTTCATTTGAGCTGGCTTTAGCTTGTGGATACATGTATTTGTAGCTTTATCTCCCTTCTCTTTCCACCCCACCCCCCATGCAGTTTTCCTGTGTTAGACACTAAAATGGAATATAACTATATTTTATGTTATTCTACGAAGATCACAATGACTTTTGAGTGTTTTGTTGCTTACATTAAGACTATAGCTATATATCAAGGAACTACAGAGAGGAATAAAATTGTACTTTCATAAAAATTTCTTTGTCCATTAGCACATTACTGTTATTTTCTTACCAACAGAAGTAGTTCAGAATTATTAAGTATCAACAATGTGCTATGCATTTCATATAACAATTTGGTTATCTTTTTAAATCTATGTAACAGAACTTATAAAGGTATTACTATTCCCATTCTATAGATGAAAAATGGAAGATCAAAGTAACTAAGTAACTTGCCTGATGTCACACATAGTAAGTGATGGACTTGGGACTAAACTGGGCCTGGGGAGCCGAAGTCCTCACTCTCTCAAATCTAGCACACCACTACACTTCATACTCCTCCACTGGAACATTGACTTCACTTTGTAGGTTCGTACATAGTATTTGTATCCGTATCAATATGTTTTAGACAAATGTTGCCAATTCTTTCATCATTATAATCTGCTACCATACAGGTCTTTTCATCCTGATAGCATTTTTTTTTCTGACAGCATTTTACAACATTACTCAATTAATTTTGCCAGTCTTCTGTGCAGAAGAAACAGATAATTGACCATATTTAAAAGCCATGCAAATTTTTGTTGTAATTATTCAACAACTGATCTTCCTCCAACACATCAGTGTCTGAAAATGGCACTTCAAAGTTGCAAAGAATAACTTCGACATATTCACATCAGAAAAATCCTTTCTACTAAAGCAAACATAACCATGCTGGGGTTTTCCATTTAGTCATTTTAATCACAGCAGAAAAAAATGGACAATTTTCTACTTTTACTGAATTCCAATATTAATTCATTATAGTCATTAAAAGATATT
Organism: Homo sapiens; assembly: GCF_000001405.40. NCBI lineage: Eukaryota > Metazoa > Chordata > Mammalia > Primates > Hominidae > Homo > Homo sapiens. The sequence goes on along the minus strand of NC_000011.10, from coordinate 108,850,280 downwards.
TTAAATTTCAGCTTTAAATTGGCTATCAGAATTTACATGTGCATGCAAATGAGATAATTTTCCCTTTTAAATTTTCTACCAAAATTTTCAGACGGACAAGAGACATCCAAAGACTTTTACAACATGAAGTGAATGTTACCAAGACATGAAACAAATGCACTAATGACAAACTTTTAATACTGAGTGAAACTAAAAGAAAATAATTTGAAGTGAATCATTAGAAAACGTTTCTTTCTTATCTGAAAAAGCTTTATTAGTACTCTGAAAAGAGCCAAGAGTAAACATCAAGACAGAAGCGAAAGAACTGGAAGTAGATTTATCATAATTCAAAAGTTAGAAAATGAATATATTCTTTGTGGGAGTAGGAAAAAAATAATTTTCTAAAGACGGTTTATGACATATGACAAAACAAAGATAAAAGGCTGGAGTACAATTACTTCAGGAGAAAAGTATAAGTGAATCTTATTAGATTCAGTAATTGAAGTCCTCCTCCCCTTTTAATTAGGTGTGGCTCAAATGCCTTAAATGCTTTATTTTTCCTATTTTATTTTTGAGGACATACTGGTACCAAAAACTATTTTATGCTACAAAAAAAGAAGGCAAAATGTTATCTTTAGTTCTGCCATGCTACAAATGATTAAGTATAAGGGGAGCACGAAATTCAATAATGAAAATCAAATTCACAAGGGACAGAAAAACAGAAAATCAAATTTCAAGGTATAAAATACTACCTTTATAGATATTATACTTCTTTTGGATTCTCACACACTATAGGTCCTTAGCTTCCAGAAAAGAAACTACCATGAAACATGAATTTCATGAGCAGTCATGACTACTAATTTAAACTTTTTCATTCTAGGGTGATACTTGAAAATTTGTAATTTGAAAATAAGACTCATTTTTGGGAGGTTATGAAAGTATATTCCTTTGCGTGATTCTCAGGCAACTGTGTCAGTTTGGTAAGGAATTGACTCCCCAGCTATCACATAAGGAAGAAGGGGACATGCATCTTTACTTCAGTGTTAGAATAACCTATTTTTCAAAAAAGAAAACTGGCTTAACAAAAGTAAGCAAGAGAAAGATCATGAGAATGGTTAAGTCCCAAAGATATCCCCTGCCCTCCAAGAACAAAATTCCAGTAAACCTAAATCCTTCCCAGGAACTTAACACAACAAGGTTCTCCAATCTGTTACCTATTTTACAGAGTTTTGCTTGAACGACATTAAAAAGTGGACTTCTATGTATAAATCTGTAACAACTATAACAAGGATACAAAGAATGAGAAAAACAAATTGATGTGGAAACACTGATTCACTAGTTAAATCCTTTGAATATTTACCGAGCCACATGGTAGGCTCTGCATACATATAATGGGCAAAAGAGATATAGACCATTGCCCTTTGCAGTTTATAACTTAATCCTATCAGACTCCCTGATTCCACTGGCACCAAACTGCTCCCTGCTCCTCAACCCCAATCTCTACCTACTCACCATCAACCTAATAACCAACCCACCTCTCCAACACCATATGGTTTTTAAAAAAATCCCCAAAAGGAAGCATGAAAATAGATCAGATTTATGTAATTCTGAATACTTGTCTCATTTTCGATGCTGGATATAAAGAGAGCCCAAACACCAAGATATTGAGCTAAATGTCACTAGATGTTATAAGCTCATGAGAGTAAGAACAGACACCTCCCCAGGCAGACATCTCCAAATGATAGGCAAATGTTCTATAGCAACAGGTTGGCTTCCATTTTAATAATAAACCTGGTTGTGACAGTAGAAGGGCTGAAACTAGAAGGAAAAAGGGTTGTCATGAAAAGGATCTTTTATCCTCTCATATAAATAAGCTTCATTCACAACATCCATTTCAGAATTAGGCACCAGATACTGAGTCCCTTGTCCTCAAGATGACACTTCTGATCTTAGTAAAATTTCATTAAGGACCATGTGAGCCAGACCAGTCTCTGGCTCTTACTTTAGACTCTTAAATGGCCATAGCTATGGAAAAATGGATTCTGGCACTAGTATATGTACATATCTAGCTATGCAATGAACATTCAGGAATAAGTGGTATTAGTATGGAGTCTTAAACTATACTACTAACCACAACATTTAATTTATTCTTAATTTATTAGAGATCAATGACCTTGTTCTGGAAACATGAAAAATCTCCATTATTTGTCATCTGTTCTTCAAAACCCTTTACTCTTGTGATCATCCTCCACGTTTTAATTCACTGCTTCAGAGTTACCCTCCTGTAAAAGAACGTCTGATGGCTTGAAATAGGTAGCAACACAGCTGAATAGTTAAAAAGCATAAAGTTTAAAGAGTAACAAAGACCTTGGGGTAAGAGTCCCAGGGCTGCTGTTTGCAAGCTGCAGGGTTCTGGACACATTACTTGACCCTTCTAAGTCTTAGTTTTGTAATCTGTAAAAATGATGCTAGCTCACTGATTTCAGAAGTTAATTATTAGCATATAATATGACGATACATGTAAACTTACTGCAGGGTCCAGTTAAGCAAGTGTTACTTGTTAATATTCTTGTGGCTACTATTCCTCAGATGCCTGATTACAGTTTCCCTCTTTCTTAACTATCACAAAAATTTATGGTTAAGTCATCTGGATTCCATGCCAACTTAATTATGTGTCAACAACAATAAAACAAGATAGATTTTCTAAAGTCTTCCTTTAATTCTTTCTTAACTTTCTAATGTTCATGCTGGTAGTAAATGGAACCTAGAGTAATGCTGTACCATCTCTGGAAGTAGTCCAGAGCCACATCTTGACATGTTTATGTTATCTAAATTCATAATCCGATATAGATAAAGCACTCGAATTTCAAGGGAATGAAAGAGCTTCATAATGAATTGTTTTTCTCTATTCTCAGCTGTGATAGCAAATATTATCACCTTCAGTACAAGTCATCTTTCAGAACTAAGAATGATGACACAACACAGAGCAGATTTTCACTCCATTGAAGTAAAAATCATTCAAAAATAGGATCCATGGCCTATCTTTCAACAGTTCTGACTGAATTATTAGAAAACACATTGCTTGTATGTAAGAGTGGCATTTTGTCTTTACAGTTTACTAGTTTACTAATGGTTTCATATGCAAATGTTACAGCTTTTGCTGTATTTTTATTTCCAATGATTGATTCCAGAGGTTCTAAAGAGAAAATAAAAATAACAGACCTATTTAAGCACAGCTACCTATAAGTGCCAGACAAAGCTGAAGGCTGGGGTGGTCTCATAAGAAAGCGGTGCTTAAAGGCTACAACGACAACTCATGAAGAGCAACTAAAGCTGCTAAATGATCCAAAGCAGTTACAGAAGGATACCTGAAGTCCAGAGTAGCAGCTATGAATTTTGGCAAGCAGGCAGCTTGAGTTCTACTCCCAGTGATGCCATTAAACTATATGGTCTGGTCTGGTCTGGTCTGGTCTGGTCTGGTTTGTACTCTAAACCAGTTAGAACCTTTAGATCTCTTATATATAAGGGAATTGAAATTCGTATGTCAAATAGATGTCTGCACTCTCATGTTTATTGCAACGTTATTCACAATAGTCAAGATGTGGAAAAACTGAAGTGCCCATCAACAAACAATGGATTAAATAAATGTAGCATATATATGTACAATGGAATACTATTCAGCCTTAAGGAAAATACAGAATTCCATCATTTGCAACAAGAAGACATTTAGCAGAGTGAAATAAGCCAGGCAGAGGGGTAAATAATACACAATCTCACTTATCTGTGGAATCCAGTTCATAGAAGCAGACTTCGTAAGAGCTCACAGAAGTAGAGCGTAGAATGGTGGTTACCAAAGGACTGGGTGGAAGGCTTGCAGGGGAGATGGGCAAAGGGAAGATGTTGGTTATAGTGTATAAAGTTTCCATCAGACAGGAGGAATAAGTTCTGATGATCTATTGCACAGCTTGGTGACCATGTTAATAATAATGTATTATATACTTCAAAATAGCTAAAAGAATGGATTTTAAATGTTCTCACCACAAAGTAATGATAAATATTTGAAGTGATGGTTATGTTAATTAGCCTGATTTGATTATTGCACAACATATACATGTAATGACATATCTCATTGTACCCCATACATACAATTATTATGTGTCAATTAAAGATAACATAAAATTTTAAAATAAACAATAAATGTAAAAAATTGTTATAATTCAGTTTTCTAAATCTTTAAGACAAAGATTTACTTGAATCACATTAGAAATTATATAGCTTTCAGAACTTGGTAGATGAAAAATGTGATTCAAAGACAGGTGTAATAGTATGAGGGAAAAACAAGTAGGACAAAATGAGTAGTTGAATCCTACTATACTAAGAATGAGTGCACATGCAAAGCTATGATTCAAGGCTGTCAACTTTTAAACGCAAGAGCAAACAACTACTTCCAAACAGAATCATTAAGACTAAATTCACTTACATATTAAATATCCTATCCTTTAAACCAAATATATAATAAAATATTTTGAACATGCTGAAAAAAAATGCCAAGGCTTACAAAATCTTTTACAATTAATATACATTAAAAGAAATGTGTCAAATACAGAAGCATGTGATAGGTTTTACGAAGTTTTTTTTTCATATGCAAAATTCATTCAGGCACATCCCTTATTCACAACTTTGGGTCAAAAGTTTCGTCACCTTTTTCTGTCTTCCTGAAGTAAAGCTTCCCCTAGACCCTGTTGTCAGTATTTTCAATATTCTTTGGGGACATACAGTTCTTCTCAATATACTTTCATAGAAGTAACAAAATTATGAGTGACAGCCTCAAAGGGAAACAGAATTATATTTGCCCAAGGCAAAACCCTACACTAAAAGAACTAAGAATTGTCATTATAGTAGTAGTATACTCAGTTAGGAAAAAAATGTGACTTCAAAAACCAACAATGTGTTCAAGTAAAGCAATTAATTAAAGCAAAGTAATTTGTGCAGGATTAATAATATATTTAGTTTTTAAAGTAAAGTTTTAAAAGTTACTGGAAATAAGTAAAGAAGAAAGTCTTTGTTTGTTTGTTTGTTTGTTTGTTTGTTTTTGAGACAGAGTCTGGCTCTGTCGCCCAGGCTGGAGTACAGTGGCGCGATCTCGGCTCACTGCAAGCTCCGCCTCCCGGGTTCATGCCATTCTCCTGCCTCAGCCTCCGGAGTAGCTGGGACTACAGGCGCCCGCCATCACGACTGGCTAATTTTGGTTTTTTTTCTGTATTTTTTTAGTAGAGATGGGGTTTCACTGTGTTAGCCAGGATGGTCTCGATCTCCTGACCTTGTGATCTGCCCACCTCGGCCTCCCAAAGTGCTGGGATTACAGGCGTGAGCCACCGTGCCCGGCAGGAAGAAACTCTTTTCATCAAGTAAAGCAAGCAACCTGACTTGTCAGGGAGAAAAAAATTACAAATCAAAATTTTATTTTCCAAACAGTTAAGGATGATTTTATTCCCATGTCTTAACTAGATCTATGGAGCCAGAGGATCTCACTGACATCTGGCACTAAGTCCCACTCCTACTCCCTAATTTTTCAGATTAGGAAAGCAAAGTCCCAGTCAGTGACTAGTAATCCAAACTGGACTGGGTACAAACTGTAATTACTTTTTCACCAACCTACTAATTCCACACTGAGGACTCAAGTACAGGTTATTCCACAGTACAGCACAGTATTCTTCCCAACAAACATCACTGCTTCACTTTCCCACATGTGAAGATGTGCCACTTAAGAAAACATTCCTTATTTCCTGGGTAGAAATCCACTCTATGACAGCTTGGTGCATAAATGATTTGAGTGCCCATATTTGTGCCTTATGTATGCTATTGTAGTAAACATGCTAATGCTACAGTACTCACGACTGCAAAGTTTTCTCTAATACACACAAATACATATGTGTGTTTACCAATGAAAATACTATAAAATCAATCATGTGTCAGGTAACATTTATATCAGTCGAATAGAGAAAACTATTCTAATTATTTCTTTGTTTCTTTGTGCTTTTTTTCCAGGTAAGATTTTCAAAATCCTATTTGGAAGGTATGTCTTGTGCAGAATACACCTATTTTCCTTAAAATAGAAAGTTGTCACTTTAAAAAAAAAAATACTGTGACTCTTGTAGTCACAGAAGTACTGGTTTCAAAACCAGCTATATGTAAAGTTCAAGTGATTTCTCTCACAACTTCGTCAGCCCAAAACTGTTCTGTTCAACCTTGCTATGAGATAGTCATGGAGACAGTCTAAAAAATCACATGCTGTGTTCTAATAATGATGCAAAGAAAATCATTTACAAGCTCAAAGCTAAGCGAAAATGGAAAAGTGCACAACGATACACCTTTCATATAAGAAAAGAAGAAAAAATATGTATTCCTATTTATTTCTATCTGCATAAAGAAAGTGAAAGGACATGTTTAAAATTAAAAGTAGTTAGCTATAAGGGTGTAGGTATGAATAAGACAGACAGATATAGGCAGAAGCATGAATTCTCAATGTGCAATTTTTTTTTTTTTCGATGGAGTCTCACTCCTGTTGCCCAGGCTGGAGTGCAGTGGCACGACCTCGGCTCACTGCAACCTCCACCTCCCAGGTTCAAGCAATTCTCCTGCCTCAGCCTCCTGAGTAGCTGGGATTACAGGTGTGTGCCACCATGCACAGCTAATTTTTGTATTTTTAGTAGATGGGGTTTCACTATGTTGGTCAGGCTGGTCTTGAACTCCTGACCTCGTGATCCACTCACCTCAGCCTCCCAAAGTGCTGGGATTACAGGTGTGAGCCACCGCGCCCAGCCAATGTGCAATTTTTTTATCTTGATTTTTGAGCCATGTGAATATATTATTCATTCCAAAACATTTTATGTAAAAAAAAAAAAAAAAAGGATGTGCAAGCAGCTTTTGTGCAGTAACAGCATATCCAGTTAACTAAGACTTAATTATAATCTTCCTGAAGATGGAGGGACCCACGTACATATGTTAGTTTTTTCTTGTTTTTGTTTTTTAAAGAGACAGAATCTTGCTATATTGCCTTTTATTAATGAGTGGCTATTCACAGGTGCAGTTATAGCACACTACTGCCTCAAGTTCCTAGACTCAAGTTATCCTCCTGCCTCAGCCTCTTAAGTAGCCAGAACTACAGGTGCAAACTACTGCACCCACTCAGCAGCACCCACATATTTTAAATATTCTATGTTCACAGCCTATGGCAGAGCCTAGCAAACATTAACACTGTATAAAACAAGTACAATTTGCCAATTTGAAATTAACTTTCTAAAGGTTTCCAGAACAATATTCAATGACATGGATATAGTAACAACTTCCACATGGGAGAAAAGAGATGGCAAGGAAGGGGAAGAGGGTGAACATTATTTTATGTAAATCCTTCATATTTCTTTTACTGCTGGCTACAACTTAGAAATGCAGTACATTCTTGCCCAGTTGTCCCCTGGATAAATACTCTAAGTAGATTGCAAGCTGAAACATGACAAGCTCCTGATACTCTTAATATTAAAGATTTTAACAAATTGCTAATATCAAATTTCAATTTAATTGCTGCACTAAGAGCAGCAATGCAAGAAATGCTTAGTTCTCTCATTAACATAAATATCCAACAATTACAACCAGTACGTTTCAGGTTCATCTGTTCTCCATATTTTTGGAATGCTTTTCTCAACATTCATTTTCCATCCCTAAAGCTATCTCCAATATCTACTTTTTCATCAAATGCTACTCTGAAGCTGCATCAAATATTAAAATAAAGAAATGAGAATTGCTGTTCTATTTTTATAAAAAAGTGTGTACTGGTCCATGAAAGGTCAAATAGGAGTGAAAAGCTCTAAGAATCCTTCTCAGAATGTACTTAACAATGTTCACATCCAAAGGTATTTTGTTCTTAATACAAAATTTAATATTATATAGCAGTGTTTCTCAGGTGTTTCTCACTGTGTCACCCTGAAATCACTGTATCAAAAGCACGCTAAAGAAAGTTCTTTAAAAAATGTCAATCTGCTTTATTTCATTAATTCATTTTTTTATCTAGTGAAATGTTCACTTCTAGGGAATTAAGTAGTATAATGGTATAACAATATCATGTGTGACCACTATATCAAGGATAACAGAAAACTGCCAAGTTCAAGACCACAAGGGCACATGCTTATTTTTATAGAAGTTTTACAAAGTCTCCAATTTTAATATAATAAATTTAATGTATTATCAAGTAATTGATATGGAAATTTATTAAGTTGAATCTGGAAACACCATCAATCTTTTCCAATGGTTGAATGGTGAAACAAACCTCAGTACATCCATACGATGGGACATTACTTAGTAATAAAAGGAACAAAGCACTGATGCACACAACTTGGCTCTGTCTCCATAGAATAATGCTGAGTGAAAAAAGCCAATTCCAAAAAGCTACATACTGCATAGTTTTATATAAAACATTCCAGTAATGACAAAATTATTGAAATGGAGAGCTTGGGATATCTCTATCAACTACAAGTGAAACCACAATTATCTCAAAATAAAAACTGTAATAATAACAACAAATCCACTAATATTATTTAGATCACCTCAGACCAAAGACAGATTTAAGTGGCATTCTCAGAAACGAGTCAATATACAGACTCCCCCAGCAAAGGAACAAATAAACAGAAAAAAGAGTAGCCACAGAAAAAGAAGTGTCAGAGAAAACAATGAAGAAAATAATACACTTATTAATGAATAGCTAATGAATATTTAGATATACTTCGGGACACTAAATTTTACTCAGTATGAATTCAAGATGGAAAGCTTACCCGATGCTTTGCCTTAATTTTTTTCCTATATTCTTCTTTGTCAAATTTGTCCTCTTCCTGAAGTCTTTCCTTTGCTTTATGTAAGTTGATACCACCTGTGTCATCATCTTCCTCAGCATCCTTGATGGCAGATTTCTGCATTTGTGGCCACTGCTGAACCAACTACAGGTAAAAAAAAGGTCAGTGTCAACAGGAAGTAGGGAATACCCCAGAAAGACACTTCATTTTGTCTGATGATTCTGAAAAGGTGCAGATACCCATTTTCTGCCTTACAATCTAATCTGTATTATTTAATCTTCTAATCAACTTCAAGCCATAGAAGAGACTGCCCTAGTCAGAGTAAAGTAACACTGCCATACCCAATGAGAACAGGATTAAAAGAAAATTTCACCAAATAATTTGGAAGAGAAGGCAGTCACAAAATAGAGATGCTCCAGCATCTTTCCAAACAGCATTCTTAGTATCCTATTCTCCACACAACTCAGCTCAAAATTATCTGCACACAGTAGGAGTCGGGCTGAGTAGGACACAGGCTGTACCTCCTTTGGGCTTCCATGGTACCCAGTGTGTTACTGTCACACAAAGTTCATTGCACTGCGTTGTTTTATGTTCCTGTTTCTCTTACTAGAATTAATCTCCTTGAGGGCAGTTGTATGTCTTGTTCATTTATCCTTGGAGCCCAACATAGTATCTGGCACATATTAAACAGGTGCTCAAAATGGATCAATGAATCACATACCAACTAACATTACATAATGACTGAAATAACTAACTGAAAAGGAGAAAATCAGTTTGGGTTTCACAGGCTTGCTCAAATCCACATATTTTACACATACAGTTTAGGGTAAGGAACAAGGTGACCTAGAAGATGGGGCACTGATCTGCTAATGAGGGGACCTGTCTAAATGTCCTGGCTTTTTCATTACTATGTAATGCGAAATAAATTAATCTCTGGATATCTGTGTCCCTTCCAGAAAAACAGAGGTTTATTTGACTCAGTAATTTCTAAGTCTAACACCACAAAACTCTATAGACAATTCAGACAACAATAACTCTTGTTTTATCTAATAATTAGTTGCCAGAAAGATTTAAATAACTACCATTGTTTTGAAAGACTGCTAATTAACCTGCCAGCAAATGGAAACTGCAAGCACACACATCGCAGGTATTAATGTCTCCTCTCTCACTCTGTGGCCACCATAACCATTCTTCAAGATGAGATTCCTATGGAGCCTCAACTTTTAGCAACCAATGGGGTTGATAAATATCACTGAGCAGCCATGCTAGCAGTCACTGACCCTAAAGAGGCAATGCGAGGGATCAGTTTTAACAATATGAATATCATGTTACTTGGACTCCTCATCCCCACTGCAATCAGAGGGCAAAAAGTTTATCCTTCTATGGGCTAGAAAAATATATATAGTGGCATTTCTTTCAGAGCTTTAAGTCAGAAGTTTCAGGATGGCTCACAGCCACAAACATTTCCTATTAGCACTAAGTACACATTGAAACATTTTATAGTTGAGGATTTACATTCATTTTGGAGCTAATTGGTATAATTTATGCAGTTAAACTTAGTAGCATACTAAGGAACCTCATTACACCAACAGCACTCATCTCATTTTACAGTGAACATCAGATGTCATATGACTATTCTAGTTTAGTCTGTTTCTCAGGTGCTGACCTCTTTTTCGTAACTTCATAAAGACTCATTATCTGTCATTTAGATACGCTTCCTCTTCAACTTCCACCACCTTTGAATGGCACACGATTTTGTGACTTTTCGTCTGATTTATACATCCCAAAATAACATCCAAAACTTTAACTCCAAAATTAAAAGGAATCATACTCCACTGGAGAGGCTGCTTAAGCAGTCTTTATGTTAATGATGATGAAATATATGATGTGCTACATTAGTTAATATGAAAAGCTGTTATTTTATTGAAATAGATGTTTCATTCAATCAATAAATTTTTGTGAGGGCTTATTATGTTAGGTACCTTTCTAGGTGCTGGGGACAGAATAGTAAACAAAATCAACAAAATACCTTCCTCTCAAGAAGAAGTGGAGTGGAAGAAACTGACAATAGTCAAATATAGACTGAAGTCACAAAGTAAGTGCTGTCAAGAAAAGTGAGGCAGGGTGAGAGAAATGAGGCTATGATGGAGGTAAGGTGCTCTGTGCTAATATGAGGATAGTCAGGAAAACCTGCGCTGGTGAGAATGAGGCCATGAGATGATATTCAAAAGACCCTACCTACTGTAACCACTCCTTAGGTAAGTCACTTGACATACTGGATCTATTTCATCATTTTAAAATGAAGACAACTGTTACATAATAGCATGAACTTTCATGAGTAACCTGTGAGTGGTAATCCCTTCCCTATACTATGGGTATGTATTTACAATACGGCTAAGGGAAAGGTGAATTTAAACAAGGCACCTCTGTGTCTGAGACTACTTTATAAAGCAGAGAATTCCCTCCCATAGCCAGTCCAGCAAGATATATGCAAGTACAGCATTTAAAATTGAGGAAGTGCAAAGCAGAAGCTTTTCTGAGTGAAGCAAAAGAAGCTGTGGCAAGTAGATGTATTAGCATTCTCATGTCTGTTCCATAGAACATAATGTTCAATACCATGAAGAGAAAACCTTATCTATAAAAACATAATCTAGAAAGTTCAAAACCAACTCTGTGTCAGTATTACCAAGAAGTATCTCGGCTTATTGGCAGTAAGGCATCCTTGTTCACAGCAGTAGAGCTGATGTACAGCCTACAGTAACAGTGAAAGGAATGGCCCAGCATGCTGTAGAGAAACATTTACTCTATCATTAATGAGTGCTAAGTAAGAGAGAGTCGATCTCTTCTAATACTCCAAATGCACCTCAGAAATGAAACACTTCTAGAATCTTACCTCCCCTTCATCAGTAAATGTTATCTTCTTATTCACTTTAAAATTTCTCTTCATTACTTTTTTTGCTTCTGCAACTTTGGTCATTTTTTTCTTGATGCTGGATTTAGAAGGTTCTTTCTTCTGTGTGAGAACATACAAAAAACACAGATGATTAGGAAAATGGTTGCTTTATATTAACAATCCAACTCTGGCAATATACTTCTCAAAACTGGGTACATTTATTACTCATTGGCTAATGAGAAGCATTGAAAACACTGTCCAGGAATAACATTATTTGACTTATTAACTAAGAACTCCTCCCAAAACCTAAAAGAGTTTAAGCATTAATAGGAGGGCTAGTAAACCAATAACGTTTACATTTTCTCTATTACTAGAACTGTGCTATTTGATAATATTTAAGGACTAAAAATTACATAATATAATAAATGGGCATAAGATAAATAAAGCTATCTTCCAGTCAAAATTTCATACATATCTTAAAATGTGCAGTTGCAAACTTAAGTTTTTAGAGTAGGAAAATGTATACTTGGAAAGCAAAATGATTGCCATACATTGTTTGCAACGTTGCAACATTCCTCTTCCAATTATAGTAATTTACCATAGGAACACAGTAAAATATCCAATGACAATTAAACTGTGTCCAGGCCGAGCATGGTGGCTCACGCCTGTAATCCCAACACTTTGGTAGGCCAAGGCAGGTGGATCACCTGAGGTCATGAGTTCGAGACCAGCCTGGCCAACATGGTGAAACCCCATCTCTACTAAAAATAAAAAAATTAGCTGGGTGTGGTGGCGGGCGCCTGTAATCCCAGCTACTCAGGAGGCTGAGGCAGGGGAATTGCTTGAACCCAGGAGGTGGAGGCTGCAGTGAGTGAAGATCACACCATTCCACCTCAGCCTGAGGACAGAGCAAGGCTTTGCCTAAAAAAAAAAAAAAAAAAAAAAAAAAAAAAAAAAAGCTGTATCCAAAGGTGAGATGCAGAAAACACTTAACAGGAAGTACTGATTAGGACCTAGCTCACAACCTAAAACCACTACAGCAAGATACTAAAAATTCAAAGCCACTGCTTACTTATGCTAAGTGAATGGTGAGCAGACCCCCTGAGATAGGGGGTTGGAAGAGGTCATAGCATAACCTGCTTTGATGAGAAAGTGACAAGACATAACCCAGGTCTGAGGATTTGGATTATCCTCCTCAAATTACAGCTAGTATTACTATTGGTGGTACTTAACCCAATGCAGCTTCCATTAGACAGAATAAGAAGTCTTTGGTGTAGTAGTTAGGAAAATGTATTTGAGCACAAGCTCTATCACTAATAAGCTATATGAGATTAGTTACCATTACCTAACCTCTGGGTTTAGTTGTAAGTTGAGGACACCAATGGTATCTACCTCATACAGTTATTGGGAGGATTAAAAAGTAAATGTAAAACATATGAAAAAGTATTCAATAAATCTCAAATACCACTTTTATACATTGATTTTGTGCTACATAGAGAGATCAAGCCAACTGCATAAAGGCTTACTTTGCAAAATACCCGACTGCAGTCTCCCTAGTTGATTGATTTTTAACTCTGTACCATAGGGAATCACACAAGGAAAAGAGAGGAGGGACCAATCTAGAACATTTATCTATAATTACCAGAAGCTTTGGGAAGCAGCGCATTGGTCACAACTGTTACATTATGGTAGTAAGTACACACAAAAAAGAGCAAATCATTTAATAAGGAGATATTAACAATGATGAATACATAAATGCTTAAAAATAAACCACCAAGGCCGGGTGTGGTGAATCACACCTATAATCCCAGCACTTTGGCAGGCAGAGGCAGATGGATCACTTGAGGTCAGGAGTTCGAGACCAGCCCAGCCAACACAGCAAAACCCCGAATCTACTAAAAATATAAAAAAATTAGCTGGGCATAGTGGCGCACCCCTGTAATCCCAGCTACTCAGGAGGCTGAGGCATGACAATCGCTTAAACCTGACAGGCGGAGGTTGCAGTGACCTGAGATTGTGCCAGTGCACTCCAGCCTAGGCAAAAGAACAAGACTCTGTCTCAATAAATAAATAAGCAAAAAAACCACCATGCAATTAAAAATAACAAACCTACTATAAAGACTTGTGCCAAGTTATCAATGTATTATATTTTTAGATAATGGTCACGGTTATGAAAATAGCTAGTGCATCTGCAATAATATTATGATTTAACTACAAGAAAGTTGTTTTGACAATGATGGTTGTACTATGTGGGTATTACTAAAACACTGACTTTGTATTTCCGATTCAACATGAAAGCTATAGTATCTAGTTACATTTATTTCTCAGACCACAAATTATGTCATATTTAAGAAGTTACTACCATCTCCAACCCATATAAAGCTAATGAAAAGATTAATTGCCTCTGAGGTAACTTTTATTATATCAGAGACATTTAATATGCTATAATTGAGGCTGGAGAATAGGGTCTGGAGGCAGGAAACTTAAGGCTAATTCCTGCTGAATCAAGAAAAACACCAAGGTCTGGAGGCAGGGAACCTGAGACCAATTCTGCTACTTCCTAAACCTGGATCAAAAGGAAAACACCTGGGTCTGGGGGCGGGGACCGTAAGGCCAATTAACACAAACTTTCTGAAACTTCCTAAAGCTAAACCAAAGGAAAACCCCCATCTCCCAACATGGAGTAACAAACGATCAAAGGCTACTCTCCCTACAATCCCCCCACCCCCCACCACGCCTCAAATGGAAAGGAAAAGTACCCTGGATTGGCCAAGCAGGGACTATCCCTTCATCTGCACAGGGTGCCAATTCACCTCAGCCTTTAATTAGGCACGGACCAAATCCTTCATCCAGATAAGGGCTAACTGATAGGCACCTCAAAAGAAGTACTTAAAACCCAGAAAACTTTGTAACGGGCCCTTGAGCCACTGGCTCGAGCCCACTTCCACCCTGTGGAGTGCTTTCTAGCCTTAATAAATTATTGCTTTCGCTGCTTCTTTCCTGTGTTTCATTCATTTGTTATTTTGTGCGTTTTGTCCAATTCTTTGTTCAAAATGCCAAGAACCTGGACAACTCACTCAAGGCCCTCCTTCCGGTAATATAATCACTATATACACATCACAAGACTTCTACGACAACAGATTAAGTTTTAGATTTCTTCTTCCCACTGGACATTCTCCACTTCCTCCACCTCCCAGGGGTCCGTGACTCCACAAATATCACCAACTGGTGGCAAAAGGCTCTAAACTGCTGTGCCTACCCTCTCTCCACCACTATGCTTATTCTAAGATGTGTGACTATTGTTCTTCCTCAGTTACTATAATCCTCATTTCCTTATCTCACTTCAGAGAGTAACTGAGTAAGCTGTGCGGTGGTAAAACATCTAAAATGGAAAAAAATACAGTGGCAGTAAACCTGTTCACCTAAAAAATAACCTGTATGACCCCTGTGAACACAAGGGATTAATAAGACCCCCACTTCTGTCAGCCTCGTCAGTATTCCTACACCTCCTTTTCCTCACAAAGGCTTAGAGACCACCATCAACACAACCACCAGGGCTGGTGACTTTGTTACTGACTCCTACTACATCTTAATTGTTTTAGGGCTAAGACAATTCTTTTTTTTTTTTTTTTTTTTTTGAGATGGAGTCTTGCTCAGTCGCCCAGGCTGGAGTGCAGTGGCGCGATCTCGGCTCACTGCAAGCTCCACCTCCCGGGTTCACATCATTCTCCTGCCTCAGCCTCCGGAGTAGCTGGGACTACAGGCGCCCGCCACCACGCCCGGCTAATTTTTTTGTATTTTTAGTAGAGACAGGGTTTCACTGTGTTAGCCAGGATGGTCTCGATCTGGCTAGGACAATTCTTAAGGACCTTGGATCTCCATCAGACCTCATCTAAAGACAGAAGCAATGCTGATCAGACAGTATAAACTTAAGGGATCACTGTAATATAAATGTAACATAGTAAATTATAATCACATAAACCAGTAAACAAAAAGTACTAGGAAAGAACATGAGTAAACCTTCTGGGGTCATGGCAGTGGTCTAGATCTTGATAAGTTTGAGTTACACAGGTGTATGTATTTGTCAAAATTCATCAAATGTTACATGTAAGATTTGTGCATTTCATTGTATATAAATTTCTGTCTCAAAAAAGAGTCCTATAAACAATATTGAACTGTAGTTAATGCCATACAAGCTGAAGTATATGGAGGAAAGTGTAATGATATTGGCAACTTACTCAAATGCACTAAATAAAAAAGGATGGAGAGATAGATGGATAGTTATGTGATAAAGAAAATATGGTAGGTAGGTGCCTCATGCCTGTAACCAGCATTTGGGGAGGCCAAGGCAGGAGAATCTCTTGGGCCCAGGAGTTCACGACCAGCCTGGGCAACTTGGTGACACTCAGTCTCTACTAAAAATTAAAAAAAAAAAAAAAAAAATTAGCCAGGCTTGGTGGCACAGGCCTGTAGTCTTAGCTACTCAAGAGGCTGAGGTGGGAGGATCACTTCAGCCCAGGAGGTCAAGACTACAGTGAGCTGTGATCACTCCACTGCAATCTAGCTTGGATCAAAGAGCAAGATACTGTTTCAAAAAAGCAAAGAAAGACAGAGAGAAATACAGTAAAAGGTTAACTGTAGAATATGAATGGTGGAATGTTGGGCGTTTGGGTGTCCAAAAGTATACTTCTTACTACTTTTCTGTACATTTGAAAATGTTCATAAAACACAATAGCCCAGTCTAGAAAGAAGGGGGAAAAATCAGAAAAATGAAACCAAAAATTGTCAGTGGAATAAAGGTCAAAAAAAACAATCCTGCAGAGTGGATCCTTAAGTGAGGTGGTCAAGTTGAAGAGCTTTAGGGAAATCCATGAAGCCACTAAAATTACATGACAAAATGTAGAGGTATTTGCATCTCTGCCTTTTATGGTTTATATTGGTTTCTGAAAGAGTTCTGTGTCCTGCCCCCCTGAAGAAGTAAAACTTTTTATTTGTTTTAGGGAAGCCACTGTTAGAAGGAACAGAAATGCCCACATGGGTGAGAAGAGGCTTATCATATTTTCCTGTTAGGCTCTGGCTTTGTCTGATACTCTAGAATTATTCTTCACTCATTCAAAGATGCTGCAAATGTCAGCGCCATCCAAGGCATCATACTACATAGTGAGGACGCAGCAGTGCAAGAGGGGTGGACTCCCAGCCTTCACAGAGCCCAACTCTATCTATGGAAAAAGATATGAAACAACTAGAACAAAACATTAATTATATATATAATCTTAGAAAAAATACACAGAATAAATGAATATGACTGTCCTAGGTAGTCAGGGGTGAGAAGAGCATGTCAAGGAACTTCCTTTTGAGGGAGAGATGTTTGAATTGAGTGGCAAACGCTAACACACTGTGGCATCACCAGCACATCAGTGATGTGCTAAACACCTGTGCTGTCCACTGATGGTGTATTTTACACATGGCTGACAAGAGAGTCTTAGTTCCACGTCATTCTTTTTAATATTAACTTTAGCAGGTAATACATGCACATGTATTCTGTAAATTGTACTTAAGTTAAAAGGTTGTTTTTCATGTCCTCTTCAGCAACCTCGGTTTCTCTCCTAAGGATCAGGTGCTGTTAGCAGCTTCTGTATCCTTCCAGAGAGATTCCATTCATATTCAAGTACACAGGAAAAACATGAAGTTACTAAAAGAGTTACCTCCAGCAATTAAAAGCCTTGATTATATCTATTCATACACATGTGCTTTTATATATCCAGGTTAAGTTTCTAAAAGTGAAAGTGCTCAAAGAGTATGTATAGTTAAATTTTGAAATATATTTCCAAATAATCCTCCCAAAGTTATACAAACTTATATTCCCACCAAAGATTTATAAGGAATTGATTTACTGCATCTGCAGCTAAGTATATTATTAGGCTTTATGTTGCCAATCAACTAGGTGAAACAGAGTACCTCGGGGAAGTTTTAAGTTGCAGTTGTATTATTTTACGTATGACAGAACATCTTTTCAAAGGCATTATTTTTCTATGCACCATTTGTATTATCTGCCAGTATTTCTAATGAATTCCTGGCATTTAATTTATCAAGTTGTGAAATCTCTTCATTTGTTAACAATGCTTCAGTAGTTTTCCACATCTCATTATTTATATTTAGACTTTTGCCATACAAGGTAATCTTGTTATTTCGCTATGATTTGGTTTTTGTGAAGATGAAGTTTTTAATTTATGTAATCAATTTTAGTAAATGTTTTCTGGGTGTGTACCAAACTTTAGTTTTCCAACTAGAAGATTTTTAAAAACTAAATTTAACTTCTTAAAGTGCAGATTTTACTTTTTTAGAATTTTTAAAAAAATGACTCTTGGACAAGAAATAGAGTGTTATTACTTTTTATACTTCAATTCATTAACAAAAAATATAAAATATATCTATTATTAGATAGGAGTTATATTTTTTGACAAGATTTTGTATTATTGGTACAAGAATGAAATTTATAGCAGCCCTAAGAAATACAATGAAAGATTAGCTGACAATATGTAAAACATCAAAATATGACTTTCATTTCTATTTGCACCTCTTCTACAACACGTATGCTAGACTTTAAAAAGCTAAAAGGAAAGTATCATAAAATACAAAATTGGTAGTCACTCTCAGTGTCCTATGATAGGTGTAGAAAGTTACTGGAAATAATCTGGAAGATAAAAGAACTGCTGCCACCACCAGTCACAAAACCAATAATGGTTCTTATCATAAGGACCATGTTAGCTAACATTGGCTACAAGAAAATTCAAAATATAATCAATGAAAAAAACTAATATAAGCATTACTACTACATATCCTACAAAAGAAAATAAAACTATTGTTAAAAAATGATATTTTAAATGAAAAGCAAAAATCACAGGAAAATAAAAGTTAGAATTAAAGACAGTCCAAAGAAATCAGATTTTTATGTTTCCTTAAAGTAGCTCCCATTTGGGCCAACTAATAATTTATAATGAAAACCATTTTATCTAAAAGTGAAGTAAACCAACAAAATAAAGAAGAGTCAACACTGGAGAAAATCTTTAAGATTACCTATTATAGCTGAAGCCACTCCTATGAAAGATAAGAGCATTTCTTTTTTTTTTTTTTTTTTTTTTTTGAGACAGTCTCGCTCTGTCACCAGGCTGGGGTGCAGTGGCGCCAGGGAAGAGTGCAGTGGCTCGATCTCAGCTCACTGCAACCTCCGCTTCCTGGGTTCAAGCGATTCTCCTGCCTCAGCCTCACGAATAGCTGGGACTACAGGTGCCTGCCACCACGCCTGGCTAATTTTTATATTTTTTGTAGAGATGGGGTTTCACCATGTTGGCCAGGATGGTCTCAATCTCTTGACCTCGTGATCCACCCACCTCAGACTCCCAAAGTGCTGGGATTACAGGCGTAAGCCACCATGCCCAGCCCGATAAGAGTATTTCTTAAGATTGATAAACACTGTTTCCCCAAAGTCCAAACATATTTAACTATACACATTTCTATTGGCTAAATAACCAAACTCTAATAGAACTTGTTTATGATTTAAAAAAGAAAAAGCAAGCCCAGCTGCTATCAAAGTATAATGCCTCAGTCACCCTAAATCAAATGAATTACAGTAATTCAAATATTCTCTAACTTTATGGTATAAATTAAGAACACACTATTTGATATTTTGTTTTAAAGCCATCTACAAAATCTTTTTGTAATAAACTATAAATAGAATCAAAAACAAAAATCACATGATTATCTCAATAGATGCAGAAAAAGCATTTGACAAAATCCATCACCCCTTTATGATGAAAATCCTAAGCACAGTTAGCAAAGAAGGGACATAGCCAATCTATGTAATAAAAGCCATCTACAACAAACCCACAACTAACATTATACTAAACATAGAAAGTTGAAAGCATTCCCCCCCTGAGAACTGGAACAAGACAAGGATGCCCACTTTTACCACTTCTATTCAACACAGTACTAGAAGTCTTAGCCAGAGCAATGAGACAAGAGAAAGAAATAAAGGGAAACCAAATCAGTAAAGAGTAAATCAAACTGTCGCTGTTTGCTGATGATATGATTGTATAACTAGAAAACACTAAAGACTCATCCAAAAAGCTCCCAGAACCGGTAAATGAATTCAGCAAACTTTCAGGATACAAAATTAAAGTAGCACTGCTATACACCAACAGTGACCAAGCTGAGAATCAAATCAAGAACTCAACCTCTTTCAGAATAGCTGCAAAAAAACGTAAAATACTTAGAAATATACCTAAACAAGGATGTGAAAAACCACAAGGAAAACTACAAAACACTGCTGCTGAAAGAAATCACAGATGACACAAATGGAAACATATCCCATGCCCATAAATGGGTAGAATCAATATTTTTAAATGACCATACTGTCAAAAGCAATCTACAAATTCAATGCAACTCCCATCAAAATACCACCATAATTCTTCATGGAACTAGAAAAAACAATCCTGAAATTAATATGGAACCAAAAACGATCCTGTGTGGCCAGAGCAAGACTAAGTAAAAAGAACAGGTCTGGAGGCATCACATTATCCAACTTCAAACTATACTATAAGGCCATATTCACCAAAACAGCATGGTACTGGTATAAAAATAGGCACATAGACCAATTAAACAGAATAGAGAACCCAGAAATAAAGCCAAGTGCTTACAAAGATAACAAACATAAAGTGAGGAAAGCACACACTATTCGACAAATAGTGCTGGTATAACTGGCAAGCCACATGTAGGAGAATGAAACTGGATCCTCATCTCTCACCTTACACAAAAATCAACTCAAGATGGATCAAAGACTTAAATACGATCTGAAACCATAAAGATTCTAGAAGATAACATCGGAAAAACCCTTCTAGACTTGGCTTAGGCAAAGACTTTATGACCAACCAAAAGCAAATGCAGCAAAAACAAAGATAAATAGATGGGACTTAATTAAAGCTAAAAAGCTTCTGCACAGCAAAAGAAATCAGCAGAGTTAACAGACAACCCACAGAGTGGGAGAAAATCTTCACAATCTATACATCTAACAAAGCCTAATATCCAGAATCTACAAAGAATTCAAACAAATCGGCAAGAAAAAAAAATTCCATCAAAAAGTTAAGGACATGAATAGCTAATTCTCAAAAGAAGACATACAAATGGCCAATAAGCATGTGGAAAAATGCTCAGCATCACTAGTTATCAGAGAAATCCAAATCAAAACCACAATGCAATACCACCTCACTCCTGCAGCAATGGCCATAATCAAAAAATAAAAAATAATAGATGTTGGCATGGATGCAGTGAAAAGAGAACACTTTTACAGTGTTGGTGGGAATGTAAACTAGTACAACCACTACAGAAAACAGTGTGGAGATTCCTTAAAGAATTAAAAGTAGATCCATTTGATGTACTTTTGATCCAGACATCCCACTATTAGGTATCTACCCAGAGGAAAAGAAGTCATTATATGAAAAAGGTACTTGCATACTCATGCTTATAGCAGCACAATTTGCAACTGCAAAAATATGGAACCAACCCAAACGCCCATCAATCAATGAGTGGATAAAGAAATGTGGATAGGCCAGGCACAGTGGCTCATGCCTGTAATCCCAGCACTTTGGGAGGCTGCAGTGGCTCACACCTATAATCCCAGCACTTTGGGAGGCCAAGGCAGGTGGATCACCTGACGTCGGGAGTTCAAGACCAGCCTGACCAACAAGGTGAAACCTCGTCTCTACTAAAAATACAAAAATTAGCCAGGCATAGTGACAGGCACCTGTAGTCCCAGCTACTCAGGAGGCTGAGACAAGAGAATTGCTTGAGCCCAGAGGCAGAGGTTGCAGTGAGCCAGGATTGTGCCACTGCACTCCAGCCTGGGCGACGGAGCTATAGTCTTAAAATTAAACTGTAGTCTTAAAATTAAGACCCACCTAACAGGTATAGAGTTTCAGATCTGAAAAATGAAAAATATTTTTTTCGGTCTCAAAAAACAAAAAACAAACAAAAAAAAAGAAAATGTGGATAAAGAAATGGAATACTATTCAGCCGTAAAAAGGAATGAAATAATGGCATTCACAGCAACCTGGATGGAACTGGAGATTATTATTCTAAGTAAAGTAAGTCAGTAATGGAAAACCAAACATCAAATGTTCTCACTCATATGTGAGAGCTAACTTATAAGGACACAAAGGCCTAAGAATTATACATTGGACTTTGGAGACTCGGGGGAAAGGGTTGGGGATGGCAAGGGAGAAGACTACACATTGGGTACAGTGTACACTGTTCAGTGATGGGTACACCAGAATCTCAGAAGGCACCACTAAAGAACCTATTCATGTAAATAAACACTGCCTGTTCACCAAAAACCTGTTGAAATAAAAAAAAATTAAAAACAAATAATAAACTTAATACCACCCCCAGCAAGTAGCAAATATATTATGTTTGTGAAATTTTTGTAAGAACTGTAGTCTTAAAATTAAGACCCACATAACAAGTATAGAGTTTCAGATCTGAAAAATGAAAAGTTCTGGAGATTGGTTGTACATCAATGTGAATGCACTTAACACTACTGAACTGCACATTTTAAAATGGTTAAAATAGTAGATTTTATGTTATGTGTCTTCTACCACAAATAAAGATGAAATTTTAAAATTTAAGAGCCAATGAAAATATGGCATCAACTTAAAATGTTATTACAGGAACAAAGTTTGTCTTTTCAGAATTCCTACACAAGTATTAATTTGCTAAGACAAACATACCGGCTATAGCAACAGTCCTAAAATTACACAAGACTAAAGGAGAAGAAGTTTCGGCTGGAGGATGGGGAGCAGGGTGGGCAATGCAAGGGAAGGGTACAATAGATACAAGGAGGATTAAAGGCCCACAATAGAAATCAACTAAAATTATAGGAAACAACGCTTATAAATTATGAATTATGGAAATAATTTATAATCGTTTAAGAAGTCTCGTAGGATTTTTCTTCTAAAAAATATCCATATTTACCAATCTTATGTTTAAAGGTTTAATAGAAAGCACACTATAGTAAACCTTGACCATATGCATAAGTTTGGGAATGCGTAAATTAAGAGAAAAATGAAAATCAGATCTGCCTCCACCACCCAACTCTGTTACTGTAATTTCTTGAGTCAATGGCTATTACATTAGCCTGTTACACAGACTCTGCATTCACTCTCATCCCCATTATAGTAAGCCCTATTGTAATCACTTGTTTACTTCTGTGCTTTTTCCTAATAGACTGTAACTCCCATGAGAGTTAAGACAATTTTTATTCTATCTGTATCCCCAATGTATGACAGATAGGCTAGTATATAGGAAATATTCAATAATGATTGAAAGAAGAATTAGTGAATAAACTACATATGGACTACCTCATTTAATGTTCAGAACAATTGTGAGTCAAATCTTGTTCCTACAAATTTTTAATTAGAAAACTAAAGCTTAGATTAATTTAGCAGTTTGTTCAAAGTTACATAACTTCAAAGTATTTGACCCTGTTCATATTCTACAATGCATAGTTTCATTTCTGCTCAAACTGCCTTAGAAGATTGTAGCATCATAATTTGACTCAATATTTGCCTTTCGAATTTCTATTAATTTAAGAATGTTTGAGAATTGCTAATTTGAGAAACTCCCATAGCTTTTTTTCAACTTTAAATCCATGACCCATTAAGAAAGATTTTCAGAGAGCAGAGCATGGCAGCTGAAAGCCAATGAATTAGAGCTTCAGTGTTCTGGATCAAGGGCCTCTCAATGAGGTTGGACCCAGAGGACACAAAATGGAAGATGCATGCGGATGTGATCACCTCCATACAGAACTTCCTCATCTTTGTGGCCCTGCTGCAAGTCACCGCTAATTGGGCAGCATATGAAAATTGGGCATCACATGTGACTGCAAGATGCGAAGAAGTTGGTTACAGTTTCTACTCCTATCTGCAAATAAAGAGACCCAGAAAGGTGTAAGACACTCTTCGACTGAATGGACATAAAAATTCTACTTGTTAAGAACAAGTTTGGCTCTGGTAACTGAGGTCCATAGCTAAAATATAAAACTATTTGGGAAGTATGAAAGGATGTCTCATGGTCATGGTGTGCCCTTATGCCTGTGATATCCGGCCTTTTGTGAATGTTAGTATAATAGTAAACAATGTCAAGCTCCATTTTCTGGCAAGTATTAATTGTAACGGAACTATGTCTCTATGACAGCCATTTCTGTTTATTATTATACTTCTATCCAGAGTGTATTTGTGAACAGTCCCTTAGTTACACTGGATGAAAGTCAGCACACAACCACAAAGACATTTAAGCATAAGACCATTAGTCTATGTTTTTAATAAATGTACCAATTTAAAAAAAAGATTTTCAGACTTTATACATAGCTTCATTTTAAAAATAATTGTTTTCGCATCAAAAAACCTTTTTAAATACTAAATGTACTATTTCAAACTATAAGACCCCAACCCTAATTCTCTTCTGATAAGAATCACAGCTATTATGAAATTAATTTTTATGAAATACTTGACTCTTTATCTTGACACTTCATGAATTATATCTAGAAAATCATTTAGAAACCCTTCCAAATGTGTATATCATATAGATAATTCATATTTATTCCAAAGTCCGACAGATGACTGCCTACATTTCCTATCAAAGTTACTCATTTGTCAAGGCTTGATTAGTCCTTATTATATTAAGACACAAACTACCAGTAAATGTTAATCTTTTTTCTGTATGATTAATAAGGCCATGCACTACTATTTTCCTTGTAGTTTATAAATTGTAATCCTAATCTATAATGTGATGAAAATGGTCAATGAATACAATGATATATTGAGCAACAATGACAACTATTTACTATGAAATAACCATGATTCATTTTTAAGTGATCTTAATAGGTGAACATGAATGAGAATGGATGATTATGTCTTGCTTGTTTCTTCCCCACCCCAGACCAATACTACATAGATATGCAGTGATCTCAGCTGTGTTCAAACTTCCTTCTGGTTAAGGAGGACCATAAGGCAAAACCTCTATTGATACTGCCAATACGAACATTCTACACAATGTTTTTGATTGCTACATTCCTCCTTCAGGATTTCTGGTGCCTCCTTCAGGTTTAACTTGGAACACTTTCCAGAAATTGCTTTTTAACTTCCCGAGCATGCGTACCTGTCACCTTAATTAAATATCTTAAGAAAAACAACTTTCATATATATCCCCTACACAGTTTCTATTCCCCTCCACTGTTTCCCTCATTTTCCAGATATGCATTCCCTCAAGCCCTCATTCCAACACCTACAACATATTTGTCTTCCTTTCCTCAATTTCTTGTTAGAATTAACATAAGTTTCTTAATTTTAAGACACCTCTTTATAGCATTTTGGCCTAATAATTATTTAAATCTTTCACTGTGCCTGCAATTAGTCTAGATAACATGTAAATTTCTGTTCTTCACCCAACCCCTATCTGACTTTCTTTTCATGCCATTTTCCTTACTTAAGCCTCATTCCCAACTAAGTTTTATGATCATGTTCATTTATTTATTGTCTTAAATGGTTCCTTCTACCTCTTTGAACATTTATAGTGTTACAATAGTTAAGGGAAAATCCCATAATTCCCTATTTACTACCTTAGGACATTTTCCTTGGTTTGTTTAAATTGTTCAGGCCATTTACTGTTCTGTTCGCCTGGCTGGGAAATATGTATTTGCTCTACACCATGACCCTCGAAAAAAACAAAGCCACTATAGTGACAAAAATCTCAGTTATTTCCTGCTGTTTAACAAAATTATGAAACCACTCATATTTTGCTGTAGGAATCCAATTTTTAACCTGCTACTTTTAATAAATATTTCTATATTAGGAAGCAAGCAGCTGGAAGCAATTTAGAGAAACGGTGCCTGATACATTTTTCCCTCTCTTTTTAGATTTCCAAAAAAATGACAGTATTGATTTCATTTTTAACTTGTGTCCAAATTGGCTATATCAATTTCTCATCTCTACAGCTTTTGGAATTCTTCTAGAACTCAGAAATTTTATATGCTACATAGCAAAAAAATAAAAATAAAAAATAAAAAGCAGTAACATTAAAAGTAAAGATAACTTGTGTCACATGGTCATTTGGCTAACAGGGTTAAGGGAAACTGATCACATAGGGGAGGCAACAAGGTGATAATGAGCTAAGTTAAAAGTCCCAGGACAGGTGCGGTGGCTCATGCCACTTTGCGAGGCCAAGGTAGGTGGATCGCTTGAGGTCACGAGTTCGAGATGAGCCTGGCCAACATAGTGAAACCCCATCTCTACTAAAGACACAAAAATTAGCCATGCGTGGTGGTGAGCACCTGCAATCCCAGCTACTGGGGAGGCTGAGGCAGGAGAATCGCTTGAACCTGGCAGGCAGAGGTTGCAGTGAGCCAAGATTGCGCCATTGCACTCCAGCCTGGGACACAGAGCAAGACCCTGTTTCAAAAAAAAATCCTGGGACAGAAATCACGAAACTATTTCAAACAATACGACACTATGATATACTTCTCTTAGGGGAGTATCTCAGCGATCCACACCTCTACTACCTTCCTTCCAAGTGATACCAGAGACTCAGCAAGAATGTGCCAGTAGCTAGATTTAATCAGAATTTGTTTGAACAAAATGGGAGAGCATCAAAATAACATTCAAGATGTTTCATTGTACATTTGACTGAGAATTCCACAGTTGGCTCCAATACCTATAAGAAAAGCAAATTACTTGACAGCCTGGTTAGTGCGGCTTAAAGCAGAGTTTCTGTAAATTCATTCATGATTAAAGTCTAAACAAACAAATGCCATATAACACTAGCTATTCAGTGAACCACCAATTTTTACAAGCAAACAAAAACACACACATGCATGTGCATAGAGAGAGAATCTCTCTATGATTTAAAGCCTTCACAAAGAACTACAATAATGGAAGAAAGATATATGCTAAATTCAAACTGGGTTTGGTACCTGGTTACCATTTTTTGTACCATTTTTGACACAATATTTTAAGACATTTAAGAGATGTTAAAGCTGTCCACTTAGCCGCCCAAGAGGAGATCACTGTTACATCCGACATTTTTCTATAATGGCTTACATTATTAAATCCCAATACATACATGGGCTGTATGTTAACAGAAAGTGAAACAAGCATCACTACCACAACCAAGCTACGTTTACAACTACCATGTGCAGTAAAGTTTCCAAGTTCTACCTTGTATATAAATATTAGCTAAGCAGAAAGTACCAAATGAAAAGTCAAAGGCTAGCCTATGTGTACTACGTTTCGACAAAATGTGCCAGGATGATGTCCAATATTATTCAAAATTGGATATTCTTATACATACCATTTGTAAAACTGTGGTGTGCAAAGCCATATAGTGGTGATTTTAAAAAAACACTGGAATTATTACAGAACTTGGAAGGGTAAAAGGACCCTCCAGGATCACCTAGAGAAACATCACCTACTCACTCCCAAAGTCAAGAGACAATTTCGAGATCACATAGACAGTATCAGCAAAGTCAGGGCTGGAACTCCAAACCCTCCAAAAACCTAGTCTGTGCTCCTACCTTGACACCATATCTATCTTATATTTCATCTTAGCCAAATAGCCGAGAAGCAATATATAATAGTATCTCCAATGGAAACATCTTAGTGCTAGACCTTCCTCTGTGAATCATAATTTTCCTAAGCAATGCTGAGAGACCTCATAAAATGAGAAGAGTGGATTGACAGCAAATGTTCTCTTTAAAATGAAAAGAATCCTTGAAGGAATTCATTTTTAGAAGTGTAATTTTCAAAAGAGCGGGACATCCAGCTTCAGAGAGGGAACCTTCGTAGCACCAGTGATGGAAGAGAATTAAATATGGGTGTTGCTGAGAAAGGCAAGAAGATTTTTGTTCAGAAGTGTGCCCAGTGCCACACAATGCAAAAGGGAGGCCAGCACAAGACTGGGCCTAATCTCCATAGTCTCTCCAGGCAGGAGACAGGTGAGGCCGTTGGATACTCTTACACAGACACCAATAAGAACAAAGGCATCACCTGGGGAAAGGATACACTGATGCACTATTTGGAGACTCCCAAGAAGAACATCCCTGGAACAAAAATGATCTTTGCCAGCATTAAGAAGAAGGCAGAAAGGGCAGACTTGATAGCTAATCTCAAAAACGCTACTCATCAGTAATAACTGGCCACTGCCTTATTTATTACAAAACAGAAATGTCTCATGACTTTTTTATGTGTACCATAATTTAATAGATCTCATATACCAGAATTCAGATCATCAATGAATGACAGAATATTTTGTTGGGCAGTCCTGATTTTAAAACTAAGACTGGCCTGTGGTTAGATGAATATGTTTGTTTTTTTGAATTTTAATAGCAATTCCAATTCAGTAAATGCTAACACTGTTTACTCCTTCTAAAGATATGATTCGATTTCATCAACTTTTCACAAAGATGGTGAATGCCATCTTAAAACTTAATGGAAATTGGTTTTATTTTTAGATTTATATAACTGGTTATGTGAATATATTGAAATACTGGTGAAATTCCTTCACACTGTCTCAGAACCAAGCAAGATTCATCCGTGTTTCATGTTCACTTGCCTCTTAAAGGCAAGAGTTGAAGATAAGGTGGCAATGTCTACTTTATATTTTTGGCCTTAACTATGCCAATCTAATTAGATTCCTTTTATCTAAAATGGTTCCTTTTACTTACTGAAAGGCATTTTAGGGTGGTTTATGTGTAATATCAAATAAAGATTATTTAACAATTCTCACATTTTTTTAAAAAAGCGCTTTCTTACGTTCATAAAAGGACCATAGAAATGACTAAATTTGACCTCTAATTTCTTCTCTTTCAAAAGTAGAGCAACTGACAGAAAAAAACTCTATACCTCAATGCTCTGCACTGCTTTACAATTTCCATCTGCCCCCATTAGCACTTAATCATTAAAAAAAGTTTGACAGCCATTTAAAGTTGCTAGCAGATTTTTACTTATTAGTTTTTCTATCTCCTACCTTAGAATAAGTCCCTGCTACTTCTTTAGTAAATCATCACACTAAAATGCAATATTTTCAGAAATACAACCTCCACTAAAAACAACTGTAAAACAATTCCCAAATAATTTCAATAAAATTTTTACTAGTCCCCAAACTCCATGCTACATAATCAACTTTTTAAAAATCATTCTCCTTCCTACTATCCCAGAGAGACTAGAAAATTTAAGACCTATCAATATGCTTGAAATTCTTCCCCTAAAAGCAAATTTATGTTAAGATTCACTGCTGAATATCTTGAGATACTTGAGACTTATCACCTTCTATCCTCAGCCCTTTGTTGATGTTTCTCGTGATACTTCTTACACTCTACTTGTAGTTTTAAAATCTTCTTTTACTTCATCCCTCTGAAACACTCAACTCCCTGAGGGAATGAGCTTTGTCATACTCATCTTCTAATTCCTTGAGCAAGCACATACATCACGCTTAAACAAATCAATAATTATTTGTGGAACTAAGTTGAGCTTGGGCTAATCAAGATCAATTTTCTTTGAGAGTAACACTCAAAGACTCTGACATGCATTCTACTGTTACTTATTCTGATATCAGTTTGCTTAAATAGCATAGAAATAAACATATTTCACATTTAACTTGACACTTATTTGTTGGGAAAACTGATTCACAGGCCCTAGGCAATAAAGCGTGATGTGAGAAGCAGACCTGTCTGAAAACACCGGGAGTCACTGTGGGCAGCCTAGACCATGAGCTGGAACCATTCCCATCGTCTTTCCCAGCAAAAGAGTCTGAAACCATGCTCAACTTCTGACAGGACCATGGCTTCCTCCCTTAGCAAGGCAGACCTAACTTCCCATGAACCTCAAAGTCTCCACGTGCCTGACGGCTTAATTTCTCAGATGACTGCAGGCATCCACAACTATAATGTCTGGTTCCCTAGTAGTTTGTATGATTACACACTGATACATTTGACCGGCCACTTATTCTAAAAGAAGGGAGAATAGTAACGGAAGGGATATCTCAAGTGGAATGAAAATCTATGCTGTGTCTAGCAGACTGGCAAAACTCTGAGAACCTCCTATGTGGAATAAGAGGGAGACAGAGAAATCAATTCCTTCCCCTACCTGATCCTGGCTTTGTAAATATTCCCTTTTCCCAACAAAGTGTATTCCTTAATCCATGCCATATGTCATTGTGGAATTTCTCTGGATCTCTGATGACAAGTGCCAATCCAGATGGGACCTACCTGACAAATCTAAACCTTTCAGAATTTAGTGAAGAGTAGTTAATAACAGATGCCATGTGCCAAACACCACGCTAGATGTTTTATATTTCATTTACTCGGCACAACCACCCTTTTGAGGAACTGCCTGCATTTTACAGATGATGAAATAATTATTCAGCTAAAAAGGACAGAAGCATGCTCTAAACTCAGGTTTATCAAACATCAAAATTTATCTTCTTGAGCTTTGAAGCTGTACTCTTCTCAGGCCTCCACAATTCCACTGATTGAAATAAACTTTAGGAACATTGCTTGTAGGAAGATTAAGTCTACTCTCTAAATGTTGGACCCTACAATCTCCCTCAGAAATAGGCGTATGGGGCTGGGCGCGGTGGCTCATGCCTGTAATCTCCAGCACTTTGGGAGGCCGAGGCGGGTGGATCACCTGAGGTCAGGAGTTCGAGACCAGCCTGACCAACATGGTGAAACCTCGTCTCTACTAAAAATACAAAGATCAGCTGGGCGTGGTGGCAGGCACCTGTAATCCCAGCTACTTGGGAGGCTGAGGCAGGAGAATCGCTTGAACCTGGGAGGCGGAGGTTATAGTGAGCTGAGATTGCACCATTGCACTCCAGCCTGGGTGACAGAGAAAGACTCCGTCTCAAAAAAAAAGAAAAAAAGAAATAGGCATATGGTTTCTACTTGAACAAACCCTTTGACAGAAAATTCACTAAATAAAACATGTTGTACTGGGACACCTATTCCTGTTTTTCTTGTATATTTTAAAAATAATTATATCAACGGAAAACTGTTTTTACTTTTTCGAAAAAATGTGTCATTTCCAAATGAAATAGGCAATTTATATTGGTCAAAATGCTAATCTAAATGTTTTCTTCAAGTTCTAATATTACCCTCAAGAGGGCTATGCTGGTACTGAAAGTAAAGACAAATTGCATTTTCTTCTGTTACTCTAGGAAAAAGACAATAGTAATTACAAGTAGAGGTAAAATAAAGCTGGGGAGAAAAAACAGGAAAGGTAATAAGAGTTCTGTGACAAGCTTCAGTGATAACTCTGGGCCAAAAGATAGCATGTATATAACAAAACAGACATGGAAAAGGGCAGCTGTACAGAGCTAAGACAGTTACAGTGATGAAAAAAAGGCAATTTGAAAACAAAGTCACAAGAAGGGAAGGAACAAGGAAGAGCAAAAACTCTATGAAAACAATCTCCTCTCAAGTGTTGCAAAAACATTGCACCATACTGCCAAGCCACTTTTCCCACCAACAGAACCCCAAACCATCAACGTTAAGTTAGGAAAATAGAATAATTACACCAACAATGGTAAACTTTGAGAATTTCTTAAACAGATACTAACAAGATGCAAAATAATTGCCATCCATCTCCCAAATATATTCTCTAGTACACCAAAAGAATGTCTGAGATACAAGACTAAAAGTGATAAGTCCCCCCAAAAAAGGGTACATTGGAACATAAAATCAATCTTTGGCATTCAGTGTGGTCATTTCCAAGTTAGTATGTTATTCCTAACCGGTACCATTCACAGCATATTCTAGACTGTTTCTTCTCCAAGCACTTTGGTTATTTGTACCGTACAATAATTTAAAAGATTCAGTTGACTCACTAATAAATGAAACATTAAATAACTTAATTATGATACTAATAAAAGATTTTCTTCAACTAATTTTGAATACATTCAACTTCAATCAAATGAAGTAAACAGGTTGAGTTGACTAAAATTTTCTATTAAATGCAATTAATACTCTACTATTCTATTAAGATTCCTGGAGTTATGTTATGAAACTCACCCATAATTTGGCTAATTCCAAATCTAAGATGCTAAATGTCAAAACTTCCTATAAAAAGACCACAAACTACCAAAGAATAGCCTGATCACAATAGTTACTATGGTCAGCTATTTGAGAAACTCCAGGAAGCCTCATTTGACAAAAGCACACTATACAGTTAATTTTCAACCTGCTTTGGAATGAGCCTCACATTTTAGGAATAATGAACAAACTGCCTCTCACTGTTCTGTCACTAGAAAAGACCTTCACCTTGATAATGGTGTTGTAATACGCTCTACCTTACTCAGAAGCATGCATGTCCACTGGTGAGGGCAGGGAACGCTGACAGGAGGAAATAGGAATGTGTGTGAATATCTAATCAGTTTCCACAGAGTTGCTTTCCTTGAGCTATATCGTGGCGTTGTTTCTTCAGTTTACTTTAAAGACAGGTATTAAAACACTGCTGTATAAAATTCACTATTTTGCGTTTCACAGGACAGTTGTTGAAATAAGAAAAGCTGTGCTTCTCCAAAGTAGCAGCATGTTGTCTCCTTATAGACAAGGTGTTCTTTTTGTTTTCACAGTCAAGACTTCAGAGGCAAATGCCTGATCCACATTTAAGAACTATGTAAAACCTTGTATGAGCCGCATATTAAGTTTCCCATCAGTCATTCCTATTCTATCTGTACTTTGCATGCCCTCCTGTTTTCTATTTTAATATATTTAAAAGCACTTTTTAAGCCTACTTCAAATTTCTTGTAGGATTAGGAGGGATAAAATACGAACTACAAAGAATAAAGAAGCTCGGTCATTTATTCAACAAACACTGGCTATCTACCATACTGTAAGTAACATTCTAGGCACCTGGGGTACAGTAGAGTTTGCATTCTAGTGAGGAGACAAATATGCACGTATGTCAAGGAGTTTTTAAGTGTTAGAGACAAAGGTGAGTAAGGGGCTAGGGAGTAACTGGGCAGAAGGTAACAATTTTAGAAAAATAGGAAAGGCCTTTCTGAAGAAGGTGCAAAGATCTAAAAGAAAAGAAGGAGGAACTCATGCAATGATCTACATAAAGAGTTATAGGTGGAGAAAACAGTAGTGCAAAGGCACATAAATGGAAATGAGTTTGTTGTTTTCAAGAAACAAAAAATTCAGGATGACTGGACTAGAGTGAGCAGGGTGGAAGGCAATAAGAGAAAAAGTCACACAAGAAGATTCTGGATTATGTAAGGCCTCACAGGACAGAGTCAGGAGGTAGATTTTACCCTGAATATGAAAGAAAGAATACAGCAAGTCCTCACTTAACACTGTTTATGTTGATAAGTTCTTGGAAACTGCAAATTTAAGTGAAACAACTACTATATAACAAAACCAATTTTGCCATAGGCTAATTGATACAAACAAGAGTTCAGTTCCTAAGGCATAAAGAATGCCATTTTTCTTAAAGTCAAAGTTTCCAGTAATCCATTTATGATGTTAAGTGAGGACTTTACTGTGCAAGTTTTGACCAAGATACATGACATAATCTTGTTTACTTTGGAAGGTGGGGGTTGCCTGCTATGAAGATTTAATAGGAGCAAGGAAAGTGAAAAAGAAAACCAACTAGAAGGTTATTTTATTGGCCGGGTGTGGTGGCTCACACCTGTAATCCCAGCACTTTGGGAAGCCAAAGAGAGCGGATCACCTGAGGTCAGGAGTTCAAGACCAGCCTGGCCAACATGGTGAAACTCTGTCTCTACTAAAAAACACAAAAATTAGCCGGGCCTGGTGGTGGGCACCTGTAATCTCCACTACTTGGGAGGCTGAGGCAGGAAAATCACTTGAACCTGGGAGGCAGACGTTGCAGTGAGCCAAGATCGTGCCACTGTACTCCAGCCTGGGCGCCAGAGAGAGACTCCCTCTCAAAAAAAAAAAAAAAGGCTATTTTTATTGGTCTACACACAAGATAGAGGGTTTGAATTAGGGCAGTAAGTGAACAATGTGGTAGAGTCTGGATATATTTTGAAGTACACAAGACTCCTTAAAGGGGTAGATCTGGGAGATAAAAGATTTAGAGAAAACTCACGGGTTCTTGGTCTGAGTCCGAAGTGACTGAATAAATGGTATTAAATATCCAAGAGATATTAAACAACTAGTTAAAAGAAGTTTACAATAGTAGAACAGGCTCAGGACATATATTTGGATTCATTAGCATATGAGTTTTAAAGAAAAGGTCTTACTAAATTTGCCTAGGGAGCATACGTAGATGGAGATTAGAATATAAGGCAAAGCCTTGGGGGTATTCCCCCATCATTTAAAGATGGGAAAAGGAGGAGGAACCAGCAAAGACAACCAAGAAAGAACAACCAGTGAAAGCTGGAACAAATCCAGGAATAGTATGGCATGCCAAAAGCTAAGGGAAGAGGGCAATTCCAAAAAAAAAAAAAGTTGCTAGGAGTGTTAAGATGTTCATCCTTGAGTTTAGCAAAATGGGAACTGTTCCAGACCATAGCAAGAAAAGTTTCAACAGATTGGCAGGGACAAAAACCTGACCTGAATAGATTCAAAAGAAAACTTAAGGTGAGGCAGTGAAAACTGTTTAAGTTACTCATTCAAGGAATTCTCTTCCTCATCCTCTGACTTTCATGATGAAGGTCCAGATTTCAATCTAGTGTTATTGAGTCTAAAATTTAGCTATATAATGGGTTACTTTAAAATACTAGAATGAATATCTAGTCATCAATTTTTACATTTTCCAGAAATTTAAGGATTATAAAGAATTCTTATCACTGTGTTTATTAGAAAAAAAATCAAAAGAAATCCAAAGCATTTTAATAAGGGTTCTCTGAATAGAATGTTATATATCCATTTATACAAATGGGACACATGATAGCATTAAATTTAAGCTCTTAATTATGACATTATACAAGTACACAGTTGACCCTTGAACAATATGGTTTTGACTTTTGAGGGTCCACTTATACACAGATTGTTTCAAACCAAATCATACGGAATCTGCAGGATATAAAACCTGTGTATACAGAAGGTCAACCTTTCACTTACATCAGTTTCTCAGCACTGACTGGACTGCAGAACTTGAGTGTGCACAGATTTGGAACCAACCCCCTGCATATGCCAAGGGATGACTGTATTTACTCACTTGACAGCTTTCCCTAGTATTGATAATTTAAAAAAAAAGAAAAAAAGGCCACAAATCATAATATCATGTCTGCTCTGTAACTTAAAATGTATTGGGAAAAGGAGTCTGTATGTTTGTGTACATAGGGAAAAAAGACCCAGGAGTATATAAACCAAAAGGTAATGTTACATCAAAGTATATAACAGGAATATGCTTGATTTTTGTTTTCTTTGTTATGTATTTATTTTTCAAATTTTCAGCAGAAGAGTAAATGAATGGCAACATTTATTATTCATAAGATAAGAATTGCTGATAAAAATTTTAAAATAAAGAACATTCCTACTTATACTTCCAGATTAGCTCTGATGTCGATAACATAAGTCTTTCCTGATTCCGCTTTTCTGCCTCATCTCTAACAAGCTGGGCAATGAGCCCTCATCTATGCTCCCAGAGACTATATCATTAAACTGTCAGTTTCTTGGGATTTATAATTCACTAGATTATTTAATCAATGGCACTAAACATGGGTAAATTGTGGATATTCAGATAAATATTAGCTGATTTCACTTATTCCTATAACAAATATATTGATGTATTATAATCTTCCCCCTAATGATCATTAACTTAATTACGAAGGATCATTTTTCTTTTTAAAGTGATATTTGAAGATAGAGTCATTCCAAAAGTTTGAGAGGTTTTTTTTTGTTACTCTAAGATTCAAGATTTTAAGCTCAAGATTGTATGAAGCAGGAAATCTCTGATGCTATATTCATTTTTATACAAAGCATTTTACATTTTTATTGCATTCAGTCTCCTATGGTAATCTATGATGCATAAAAAAGGTACAGATAGTGGTGTGATGGCTTGTCATCCAAAACTGCTGGAGATCAGAGCTGAGAGTGAATTCCCTACACCTGGGGCTTATTACGTTGTAAAGCTATAAACTAATAATCACATTTGATTTAGGACCTAAAGCAAAAATCAACATTTCACAAATTATGTTAATTAAAAATGAAAAAAATGGCATGGTTACAAATAGAGACTGAGAAAGGGGAAGAAAAATTCACCCTTTAGACTGCAAATAATCTTTATCTAAAAAATTAAAACTAGACAAGGCCATGTTTCATTTACAATACAAAGACCTACCATCTCTTAGCCTATGTCTATGCCATCTGAGTAACTAGAGAAATGTAACCTTTCTGGAATACATATTACCCTATACTTCCTAATAAAGCTTTGGGTGGAAGGTAAAGGATAGGGAGAAGGAGACAAAAAAATTCCAGAATAAAATAAACCCTTACAGTGGATTGCCCAAATTGACACCACCAGATATCTCCAAGTCAAGAAATAAACATAAAAACAGTTTAAGTTCAGAATTTCAGAAAACTCTGACAAGAAATAATAAGTAACACTCTAATATATTTAAACATTATAAACAAACATATACAGATCAATGAAACAGAAAGACCAAAAACAGACCCAAAATACATAAGGTTTTCAGATAAAGGTGACAGGTTAAATCAGTAGAAAAGATTGACTAATGAGCAATATTGGAATAATTGGGTAGTTATATAGAACAAAATAAAGCTGGATCCACACTTCACATCTTGCAACAGAATTCCAAATGAATCAAAAGCTTAGACGCAAAATATTAAACCATAAAAGTACTAGAATTCTCCCAGGGTTTATTCTTTTATAACATTAGAGTAGTGAAGGCCCTGTTCAACTTTAACATGAAATTTAGAACCCATAAAAGACAAAACTGGCAAATTCACCAATATAAAAGGTTTAAAAATATGACCCAAAACAAATGACAATCTGAAAAACAAAAGACAAACAAAACAAAATCAAGTTATTTGCATGTCATCAGGTTGGAAGCAAAAGATAAATTTTCCCAATAGAGAGAGTGAATAAAAAGAGTAAGAAAATTAAGATCATCAGCCCAATTGGACAGTTCCCAGAAGAGCCAATATAAATAGCTCACTCATAAAATAAGACATGTAAAGGTAAACTTCACTAAGATACGAATTCCTTCCTAACCAGCAAAGATAAAGTATTTGAAAAGATGCTGTGTTTGCAGAAAAAGTGGCATCAGATATTATGAGTAGAAATGTGAATTAGTGCAATTTACAATATCTACTGAAATTCAAAATTTACGTACCCTTTGACTTAGTTATTTCACTTCTAGGAATTTATTCTATAGGTATTTTTCTTAAAGAAATATGTGCTCTTAAATTTTTTCAACATCAGAAAGAAAGTACAAATAGTATTTGTTTCTGTTTTCAAAAACATGCATCATGAATTCTGTACCAATTTAGGAACAACTTGGTACAAATCTGTTCATAAAAGTAAATGTTTGTTCTTTTTTTTTTTTTTAAGATGGAGTCACTCTGTCATCCAGGCTGGAGTGCAGTGGCACCATCTCTGCTCACTGCAACCTCCACCTACTGGGTTCAAGAGACTCTCCTGCCTCAGCCTCCTGAGTAGCTGGGATTACAGACATGTGCCACCATGCCCGGCTAATTCTTGTAGTTTCAGTAAAAACGGGGTTTCACCATGTTGGCCAGGCTGGTCTCAAACTCTGGACTTCACGTGATCCACCCACCTCAGCCTCCCAAAGAGCTGGGATTACAGGCATGAGCCACCGCAGCCAGCTGATGGCATTTTTTTATGGCTTTTTTATTATTACAATTTCAGAAATCTCCATTTTACATCTTTTAGCACATGCTATAATCAATCAAGTCAACAGTTACAGAAGAACATGCATAAGTTGATAAAGAGTAATAATATCTAAGAAGTACAAAATTGCAATTCAGTGTTTACTATTATAGCTTAAATATATTTATAAATTAGTGCAGGCAGAGAGGTGACATATCTAATTGTTTGATCAGAAATCTATGAAATACTAATACTCTCCTTCAATTGTACGTTTTTGAGAGATATAATACCATTAAAAAAAATTCAGAACGAAAAAAGTCAACTGAAAACAAAGGCAGTTAATTAACTTACTACATATATCAATTGTAGCAAGATTCACTGGTGCTGTGTGGCAAAAATTAAGCTTATTTCAAAGGCATAGTATTCAGTGTATTCAGGATTTGTTTAACAAATCCAAGAAGTTAACTAGATTTTCCAAAAATGTCTTAGTTATTGATTTTGTTGTCTATTCCACAAATAGCATTTAGTTTGCTGGGCAAAGTCTCTAACAACAGCTATATGGAAATTAATGAGCAGACTGGTTGCAGGCTATCAAAAGCAAAGTTATCAATACTTTTCCTAGAAGAAAATCAGGAACACAGTAACTTGCTTATATCTAACTGTACCAGGATAAAAAAAATTCAAGTGAACATTAACAAAAAAAGATCAAGATCTTCCACATAAGTATAACTGCAATACATATAACAAATGTCTAACAATAATTAATGCCTATCATGCCTAATTATTCAGCTCTCTTCCCCCCCCCATATTTATAATTAATTCCCCTTTCCTGTGTTTCCCTTTTATAATTGTCCTTTGATCTATTTGACCCAACTAACCAAAATTCAATAGAATCACTTGTCATTTCTAGAGTATTAAGCAATGGGAAACTGGTAGGCAGTTAATGACAAAATATAACTGGACATAGAGCCACAGTCAGAGTTTGGAAGATTCTTTCCTACTCCGTGAAAAGGCAAGCATGTTGGATGACCACTTTTAAACAAATCTGTCTAAGGTTATAACATTATGTTCAACAAGTTTTCTGATTTTTTTTGAAAAAAAGATATTATACAAATAGTTACATTAAAAAATAATATTTAATTATGTGCTATATGCCAGATCATGGCAGAGGATGGTGAATAACTTTTTAATTTGTTTCCTTTTCAAAAATAAATCCTGAGAGATGGAATTAAGATGACAGAAAGTTCAGAGAGGAGGTATCATGAAGGCTGTTTTCCTGGAGTATCCTTCCTTACCTGTGCCCCATGATCCTTTTAGAAGTCTAGTTCAAGTTTCACCTATTTCATGAAGCCATTTTTTGCCCATTCCAATATGCTGACCTTGGACCAATTCCTACCATATAATTTAGCCCTTAACTTTACAGGTCTTGTCACATTTCCTAATTTTTATACATACCATTTATCTCCATAAGGTGATGATTGAATGTATATACAGCCAAAGCCAATAAAGTCATCCCCAGTATACACACACACTGTACTGGGTACACTGCTGAGTAAAAAATGATAGTCAATATATACTCACACAGTGTATCAAGTGGCCAGCTATGATTGATTCAACAGAATCTAGTGATCTCCTACAGGGATCACTAAGGAAGGTAAACAAAACAAACATCTCCCTTGGAGAGTTTATATTCCACTGGAGATAGACAAGGAAAAATGATAAGAATGTTTAAGTACTATGAGAAAAAGTATATAGCAAAGAAGAATGGTGATTGTGTGGTGTGTATCTAGGGGAGGTGCGAAACGGGTTGGTGGTGAGTTTGGAAGATTCTTTCCTACTCACCAAAAAGGCAACATGCTGGGTGCTCACTTTTAAACAACTCTCTCTAAGGTTATAACATTATGTTCAACGAGTTTTCTGGGTTTTTTTGGAGAAAAAGATAGTTAAAATTCCCAGGATTTCTAGTTGTGTGTGTGTTTGTGTGTGCACACATGCACTTATCACTGACTTGGGGGACTAATCCGAAGCAAACCACAGGTTCCGTTGAAACATAAACATTTATACTTTGGATGAAGCTTGTCGATTTAATCCAGCAACCTCATTTTAGAAATGTGAACCCAATCAGTAGGTTGTAAATAAATTTCGCACCACTCTCAACACTGTCACTACTTGTCAACCTCTTCCCCGCATCTTTCTCTCTCTCACACACACACACCCTAGTCCTCCAAACCAAATTTATAATCTATAAATACAATTGGGTGCAGCATCTCCTATTCTTCTCCACACAGATTGTCATCACTGCTCTCATGAAACATAATAAGATCAAATAACACCTAATTAAAAAAAACCCAATAGGTTCGAAAGGAATACTGTAAAAACTAATCATCTTTACCCGCCCCTCCCCTGGGGCCCAGAGTTCAGGCTAACACAATTTGCAAGTTCCACTGCATTACAAATACAACAGATGTTTATCGATTAGGAAGGAAAACAAATAACCAGTCCTAACTATCTCCTTCTCCATGCCCATACAATTTTGAACACTTATTATATTATACTTGTAGTGAAATTGTCCATCTATTCAGATGGAACTCGGCCTTACTTAACTCACGCTCCCAGACAAGTACTTTCCACATGAAGAACACTCAAACATTTATGAATGACCTAAGAAACAATATATTCTGAGCTGCAAAAACCTCTAACAGTAACCACATATAAAAGAAGGGTTGCAGGATAATGTTGATGGTAGCTTTTTTAAACATGTTTATTACCGCTTCTTCAAAGTTCATTATTGGTGTATAAAACTCTATCAATTTTTGACATGCCTGCTATACCAAAGATGAGACTAAGCCAAAAGGGTAGAACACACAGATGCAAAAGAGATTTGTTAATTCATTTTTTGGATGACTACTATGTATGCCAAGCACCATACCAGACACTGCTACATAAGAACTGCTATCCAGTGGCTCATAATACTGTGGAGGATACATGCATTAGAATGTGAGTTCCATGAAGGCAGACTTCATCACGTCTGTGTCTCCAGCCCTTACATACGGCCTGGTATGAGCAGGTAGCTCGATATTTTCTGAATGAATCAAGCAAATTGAGAGATAGCTCCCCCAGACTCCACTCTTCCATTCTTACCTTCACCTTTATTGGTATTCACTCCTATCCTTTAATTTTGTTCCTTCCCTTCTCTTTCTTACCCAAAGATGATGCCACTGAAATTGGGAGTGTTTCACACTTGCAGAAACGCTTTACAGAGCAGCTTGTTCTCTGTTTCCTGTTTTCACTGTAAGGATACGTATGCTCAAAAAGTCAACCAACACACATGGAGGAAGGGGGCGGAGTCCCTAACACCACATTCCCTTTATTACCTTATCATCCAAGCCAAACTACCTCTGAAAGTCTACCCAAAATGTCTCGCATTTTAACATCTTATTCACCTCTCAATCCACTGCGATACGGTTTCTGATCCCCACTACTCTACTGAGTCAGTACAGTGGCCTACTAAATGTTTGAGTGAATGCTTGGACAATTGAAGCGGGTGTTAATGGTTATATAAGAGTTTGTATTCTCCATTGTTTTAATAGATCAACCAATATATCACTCAAAGTTGCCCCAAATAATTATTTTAAGATCAGTGCTAGTAAAAACTAGCATTTCCTGAAAAAAAAAAAGTTATTTTCCACTATTACAGTTAGAATGAAGTCAAAACCTTTGCATTCCTTTTCAATATAGACATCAATACTACAGACAAACTTCTAAATACTATGTTCAATTATAAAAACTACGTACATGCCCTAATTGCAAGCACATGGACGTTCTTTGTGTGTGCATACATGCTTTCCCTTGCCTTCACATTCAATAAAATATATTTTCCCTATACCAGATTTTCACTTTTCACATTTTTGCCATTTTGTTACTTTTTTTTTTAAAGGTGGGCCACCTCAAATCCTTTGCTGCTGAGAGACATGAGCATGGCTGACAGGATGGCTGGCTGGGTAGATGAGTAAATCTTTTTCAAAATGTAGCCTGTTGCTTTGCCAAATAGTACATTATCACTGGGATATCAAACAAAGATGGAAACAACCTTAAGGACTACTGATCACTTATTTTCTGGTTTGCAAAACTGGATTTACATACTCCCACGACAGGAAATTTCACCCCTATTTCTACAATGTGGCTAAAGGATCTCAAAGGCCAACATCTTTATGGTACTTAAAATTGCTCTGATCTGGTAGCCCAAACTATGTCTAATCATCCTAAAAGTAGGTATTATTCTAACATAAACAAATCCATAAATAAATGTATAAAAGCTACTATCATCCAATATTTCCCCCCACCCCCAAAAAAAATCAATCCTAAACTGCTCAGCATTTTTTGACTTAGAGGTCAAATTATACAGGTAGTCTACATATTACATTCTCAAAGTATCCCCCAACACATGGTTTTCAACAATAGTTACTGGAAAAAAAATTTGTAAAAAAAACTCCGCAAATTCCCATCATTGAAACATTTCTCTTGCTATGCTTTCTCCTTCCCATTTTAACTAAGCGTTTTGTAAAAATAGTTTTCTCCCCTCACTCACTCAAACTGATTAAAATTTCTTCTCATGACTCTATGAAATTAGCCTTTCACCATACTCACACACATGCGGATACATCATAAGGCTATTTGTGAGTGAAACTGTGTTACCTGACGTATCTACAGCTTCGCACTGTGCCTCAATGCTTCATCCATGGGGTTTTCAGAACGTGACACTTTTCTAATTTACCTTCCACCTTGCCAGTAACTATGGATCCATCTCTTTTCCTTCATACTATTCCTACTGAAAACCCTGTATTTTGTATTTCAGAAGGTACTATTTCCAGCCTTCTCGTCCTACATTCTACTTTAGTAGAAGATATTTTTATATGACCTCACCTATTACCTACACAGATGACTCTCAAATCCCAAACACTCTCTAGTGTTCCAGACCCAGAAAAGTCCAGGTGCCTACCAAGCATTTTCACCTAGAGGCCTAGAAGGCATGTCAACCTTACCAAAAAATGGAACACACTATCTTCTCCACAAATATCCTGATATGATTTTTCTGTTCACCACAGTCTGCTACTTTCATTCACATATTTATTAGACATCTATCACACGTGAGGCATTGTCACCACATCTAGTCAATTCATTTTCTTATCTCTCAAAACTTCCCCTCACAACCCACCCCCAGCATCAGTCTCAAATCAATCCTTCTTAACCAATACAAAAAGAGTACTGCAGTACTGTCTAAACTGGTTTCTCTTCCTCGAGTCTCTCTCACCTGGCTTGACATTGCTACCAGTCACAGTTTAAAATATAAATTTGAACCCATAACATCCTTTCTTATGTTTGCCTGTCACTAAGCAATAAAACCCAAACTCTTCATGAGGTTTGCCCCCAGCCAACCTTTTCCACTTCAATGACTTCCACTAAACTCTACAAATCTTTAATTCCCAGGCTCAGGTACAAAACTTAGGAGGCATACTGGATTCCTCTCTTTCCCTCATCATCTATCTCTAATTCATTAGGAAATCCTATCAATTCTATCTCAGAAATATATTTCTGTTACATCCACAATATCCAGCACCCCAGTCCAAGCTATTGCTTGCCTAACCTAGGACATCTGCTTCTCTTATCCCCAACAGCAGCCAGGGTAAACAGACCAAGATCACATCTTTAACCTGTTCAGAATCCTTCAATGGCTTCCCAAATTAGAATAAAACACAAATTCCTTATCATAGGCACATAGCCTGACCACTGCTTACCTCTCCAACCTCATCTTGTACCACTCATCACTGTCTCTAATCTCTTCATATCGGCCTTCTATTGCTAGATCATACCAATTTCTCTCCCACTGTAAGGCCTTCACACAGTCCCCCCTCTATTTAGAATTCTTCCCCACCTCTTAGATGGCTAGCTCCTCCCTAGTCTTCAGCTGGTTCCTTCCCAGTCTTCAGGCCTCAGATCCAACGCGCCCTCTGAGAGAGGCCCTTGCTGGCCACCACATTTAAAGGATCCTCCCCACCACGGTTTTCTTAGTTACAGCACACTGCTTATTTCCTTCACAGTGCTCACTGTACTGTGATTTACCTAATTTACTTACTTGTTTACTATTTGTGGCTCTGCAGCTAACATGGCCTTGATGACTACTGTATGGATTACTGTCATTCTCTGGCTCTATAGCAGAGGGTCTGGCACATAATAAAAGCTCAATGTCGTTCACTA
The DNA here is from genome assembly GCF_000001405.40 of Homo sapiens. Classification (NCBI taxonomy): domain Eukaryota; kingdom Metazoa; phylum Chordata; class Mammalia; order Primates; family Hominidae; genus Homo; species Homo sapiens. The sequence continues at coordinate 108,806,442 of NC_000011.10, read as the reverse complement.
CCTGAACGATTGTATGGATATCCTACATACCAAACAGAGTATCATAAAGTTCGCCATACACACCACACTCTCATGTCTCTATCACAGTATCAAACATACTTCTAAGGGAAAAGACGTATCTGTTAAAGCCCCTTCCATCCCACTTTTTGTTGTTTTTATTGCTCTTAATAGAAAAGTTTAGGCCAGGCACGGTGGCTCACGCCTATAATCCCAGCACTCTGGGAGGCCAAGGCGGAGGGATCACCTGAGGCCAGGAGTTCGAGACCAGCCTAGCCAACATGGAGAGACCCCGTCTCTACTAAAAATAAAAAAAACTAGCCGGGCGTGGTGGTGGACGCCTGTAATTCCAGCTACTCAGGAGGCTGAGGCAGGAGAAATGCTTGAACCCAGGAGGCGTAGGTTGCAGTGAGCCGAGATCATGCCATTGCACTCTAGCCTAGGCAACAAGAGCGAAACTCCATCTCAAAAAAAATAAAATAAAATAAATTTTAAAAAAAGTTTAAAATGTGTAAACAATTTTTAGAAAGATTATAGTTTATTATAAAAACTTAACATTCAAAAAATATCTGAGTATCAAAGTTTTTCTTCTTTCATTATTAAATAAGTACATTTATTTCAAGAATATAAGTAAATTTAACCCAGAAATCTTTAAAATTAAAGCATCTATCAATTGTTGTTCATACTGACATCAACAAATGAAGGATGTAGAAGCAAGACCCCAAGAAATTTGTTATCTCTGATTTTAACCTATATCCAAAAAGTGATCCAAAAAGATCACTCCTCTAGGTCATTAAATTTGTGATATCAACTCAGCAATGTAACACAAGGCCTAGTATTAAAAGCAGGAGGAAAAATAAAAAATGAAAATGTTCAATGGAAATAAGCTAACAGTCTTAACAAATTGAAGTTAAACTTATTGAGAAATCTGAAAATATAAGATGTTGCTAATAACATACAAATCTGAAAAAATAATTATCTTCTGTATATGCTTATTCTTTTATTGAGACTTTTATTCTAACCAGAAATTTATCTTTGTACCACTTGCTACTTTAAACAAAAGCAACTATATGAATAATTTTATGAAAATCTTAATGAATAGTGGTGAAGAAAGTTCTGGCTTCCAGTGTGGAGGCTCAAACATATGTGGTTCTGCCTCACAGAGTGGCAGGGCACCGAAACTGCTTAGTCTCATGAGATAGACCTCATTCTTGGCATGTACACAGTCCAGTCGAAATAGCAGTCATGCTGCAACATACTGTTTAATCTAGTCCTGGCATGAACACAATATATAAGCAATAAAATATACCATTTGTAATCACTTGAGGTTTATTTACCATCCATTTATTTCCATCTTGCCTGTGGGAGAATGACCCTGAGGTGATGCCCAGCCCCCAGGATCCTGCCTCCTTGTGCTAATGCCCTTGTGTAATCCCCTCAGCCTCAGTGTGGGCAGCACTTATAACTATTTTCTAATAAACAGAATATGGTCATGATGACTAGATGTCACTCCCATGATTAAGCAACATTATATGGAAAGCTGATTAATATATAATACCTCCTAAAGGCCCCTCTTCCACATTCCATCATATTGAAGATTAGGGCTTCAACATAAGAATTGGTGCAGGGGCCATTTAGTCCATAGGAGGTGGCCTCCAGCCAACAGCCAGCAAAAAGTGAAGGCTTCGGTCATACAGCTGTCAAAAGAAATGCATTCTGCCAATAATATGAATGAGCTTGAAAGTGGATTCTGCTCCAGTCAAGCTCCTAGATGGGAAAGCAAACTGGCCAACACTTAATTGCAGCCTTATGAGACCCTGAGCAGAGATCCCAGCTAAGCTGTGCCCAGACTTCTGATCCAAAGAAAACAAGAGATAATAAACACGTGTTTTCAGTTGAAAATTTTGTGGCAACTTCTTTTGGAGGGTTTTTTTTTTTTTTTTTTTTGAGACAGGGTCTCACTCTGTCACCCAGGCTGGAATGCAGTTGTGCAATCGGCTCAATGCAGCCTCAACCTCCCAAGCTCAAGAGATCATCTCACCTCAGCCTCCCAAACTAAGTGGGACCACACACACACACCATCATACCTGGCAAATTTTTTTTATTGTTTTGTACAGATGGGGTTTCAATATGTTGACCAGGCTGACTGCAAGCCCCTACGCTCAAGCAATCCTCCCTCCTCGGCCTCTCAAAGTGCTAGTATTACAGGCACCAGCCAACATGCCTGGCCTTGTAGTAACTTTTTATACAACAGGTTACCAGTAAGTTGACTTGGAACTGCTCTCTAGTTTGATGTGTTCTTTCTTTGTTGGACTGATGTACAATGCCCTCAATAAATGCTTACTGAATTAGCTACAAGAACCAGGTCATTCTGAGCCGCTTACTTACATTTCAAACCTATGATAACAAAACAAGCAAAACTAAAAATAAGAGAGCAGCAAGAAATTGCCCTGGAAACAGGCCTAATCAGCAGTGCCTTACTCTAAAAGGGATGAGAGAACCCAAAAGTGAGGAAATGTCAAAGGAATGGGATTGTTTCATGTAACCCTCATAGGATAGCAAAAAGAAAACAGTCCAGAGGCAACTAAAGGTACTCATTTCTAACACATGAGCATTTGCTTTTTCAGATTCCTTTACCTACAGATCACTTTATAACCAACACATTAAAAAATGTGTTCTGCTAAAAGTAGTATCTGAAATTTACTTATCTAAAAAAAGGACATAAAATTACACTTTAAGTATATTTCACATGAATTCAATAGATTAATTAGATTTACATATGTATGTCTCAGAGATATAATGAAGAAAAACAGCAAAGATCAGGAAAAACAAAGATTTTTTTCTTTTTTTTTTTTTTTTTTTTCGCTCTTGTTGCCCAGGCTAGAGGGCAATGGTGTGATCTCAGCTCACCGCAACCTCTGCCTCCTGGGTTCAAGCAATTCTCCTGCCTGAGCCTCCGGAGTAGCTGGGATTACAGGCATGTGCCATCACGCTCGGCTAATTTTTTTATTTTTAGTAGAGATGGGGTTTCTCCGTGTTGGTCAGGCTGGTCTCAAACTCACGACCGCAGGTGATCCGCCCACCTCGGCCTCCCAAAGTGCTTGGATTACAGGCGTGAGCCGCCGTGGCTGGCCTGAAAAACAAAGATTCTTAAAGGTTCCAAGGTTCTTTAAAAAAAAAAAAAAATTGCTACTAGGTAATATTATTCACCTGGGTGGAAATGACCGAGTAAGAAAGGTAGCAGAGAGCTTGCAATATTGAATCAAGTCTGATATATTGCAAGAATGCTGCTGGCAAAGAATCATTAATTTGAAAAGTAAGAAAAAAAGAAACTGTGAAATAAGCAGCCAAAAGCAAAACAAAAGCTGCTGGAGACAGCATGTATGTGTAATCGTAGAGTATAAGGTCTGCAGGATACATTCAATTCCAATTGCCTTCTCTGGAAACTATGCTTTTTCCTTTTTCCTACATTGGATTTAGAAAATGGTGGCTGCAAACATTTAGTTTTATAGATTGCTTGGACTGATAGTTCTTAAGAGTTGTATCTACACCCAAGTCTAGGGGATTGGTATAATTAAATTTACTTTCCACATATAAAATTGGTTTTGGTCAAATCTACAAAGATAAATTCATGAAACAGATATCATGCATTAGGACATTCTCATTCAAAAATTCACTATGTTAATAGGAGGGAGGGGGGATTTTCACAAAGCACACAGAAAAAAATAAGAGTACACACCTGTCTTTTTCCATGCAATGGAAACAACTCACTCTGGGAAACTTTTTTGTTTTGGTAGGGTTTGTTTTAGATAACACAGTCTCAGAGAAAAAAGTTTCAGAAAATTACAAAAGAACAGCAACTTATTGTAAACATGATAGAACCAGAAGAGAGAAATGGCACGTATCTGAGGGAAAATAATAGGCTGCTCTATTGCAACCATAAATTTTGTCAAAGACATTAGACGCCTCACCTTTCTTATGCATAAACAAAAGACTAATAAAAACATAAATGATTGCTTCAAAGAAAAATTCCAACCACCTGACATATTTTCAGTCAGTTTTTGTTGGATTTAGTACATTTTAAGTTACATAAACTCACTATTGAAGGTTAAGCATCCCAAATCCCAAATCCAAAAGTCTCCAAAATCTGCATGATACTTGAAGGAAATGCTCACTGATGCATTTCAGATTTCAGATTTTTGGATTTTGGATGCTGAACTGGTAAATATAATGCAAATATTCCAAAATAAAAAAAAATCCAAAACCCAAAGCACTTCTGGTCCCATGCATATTGGATAACGTTTAGTCAACCTGTACATCCTGTTCCAGACCTACCCACACATACTCCTGAGTTTTCTGGACAAAGTAGTGATGGGTTCCACCTGATCAGCCACAAGACATACACACAAACACACACACACACACACACACACACCCCACTCACTTTCTCTCCCCTTCCTTCTCCCTCCCCCCACTTTTTTAAAAAAAATTACAAATAGGCTTACTAGAACAGTGCTATGTTGAGAATTTCTATATTTTTCTTTTTCCAATGTTGTATTTTAAAAAGGAGCTTCCTTTGAATTAATAGTTATCCCTAAAGAAGATACTCAAGATAATCATTCTACCATTAATTGTGGTGAAAGACAGTTAGTAGCTGATAGTATATACATTGGTTAAGAGCATAGATTTCGGTGTTTAAAAAAAAAACAAACCTGGATTTGAATTCTAACTTTACTATTTACTAGTTTTTATTTAGCACAGTGTCTAGCACATAAAACCATCCTCAAATTCTTTATGAAGAACAGGGGAAGGGGTCATTGCTTTCTGGGGATAGATGCATTATAAAGTGGTGAAAAGAAAGTAGGAAGGAATTGGGGGCTGTAAGAGGTTAGGAAATTTGCTTATGATCAGGATATAGCACATAGTGTAGTGTCAGGATTCACAGGTCTTCTGACCTCTCATCTTGCAGACTTTTCTTTACACATGACAAGCTACTTACAACCTTGGAATAGTTTAACATTTCATAAGTTGAGAACTTTGAAAACACGTTTCCAAAACATACTCAAAAAGTACACTTATCTCAAGCATTAAGGAGGGGAGAAAGACAAGCCAACAGAATAGAAAACTACTAGCTGATTCTATGGCAGTTTACAAAATATCAAACCTGTCATTTCTCGTCACAGGTTAGGCAGGTAAGGACATATAATGATAGATTTTTTTGTTATATTCTAATATTGTTAGAATACACAGTCCAGTTAAGCATTTTCTTGACAAAACTGAAACAATCATATTCTTGCATTCAGAATACCCATTCTAACACTCCAAAGCACACATTCTAACTACAGGGCCTCTTCTATGAGGACAAGATGCACTATCCTCGTCTTCCCGAGTCTGAGAATGAGGCAATTGTATCTGAGTAGTCTGGTTCTGCCAACTCAAAGAGTTACCTCTTTGTGAATTTAAGCATATATTAATACTTGACAAAATGGCAGATAATAAACAACAACCAATATGCATTTCCATCTCTACATACTGGAAAGATAGGAATACAAGAAAATTCTTCATCACCTGGGCAAGCAATCATTTGTAGATCAAACACTCAAAGGATAAGTGAAAATCATAATGTAGAGTGAAAAATCATCAACTAAGAAAGTGGAAATGGATATCTATAAAGGCAACAACATACTATTCAAATAAATTGTTCAACAATATTTGTGCCCAATAAAATTAAGCAAAAGCATAATCTCACATATTGATGGGAAACAATAGTTTCCCATATTGATTGTCAATTGATCAACAAGATTTTGATTTCTTATAAATGTGGCACTGGAGGTTCCAAAAGTTCATACCAATAGGTTGTCATTAGGAGCTTTAACTCTATTCTAGGCAGGTAAAGCACCCACACAGGTAACAAGAAACAAGTGCTGGAGTGTGATAGATTCATAGCCAAATGGAGAACAAGGCAGTATATGTTAAGATGTTCTTTTTTTTTTTTTTTTTTTTGAAAGAGTCTCGCTCTGTCGCCCAGGCTGGAGAGCAGTGGCGCGATCTCGGCTCACTGCAAGCTCTGCCTCCCGGGTTGATGCCATTCTCCTGACTCAGCCTCCCAAGTAGCTGGGACTACAGGCACCCGCCACCATGCCTGGCTAATTTTTTTTTTTTTTTTTTTTGTATTTTTAGTAAAGACAGGGTTTCACCATGGTCTCAATCTCCTGACCTCGTGATCCGCCTGTCTCGGCCTCCCAAAGTGCTGGGATTACAAGAGTGAGCCACCGCGCTCGGTCAAGATGTTCATTTTAAGGAAGAACATAAATGTAAAAATAAGTAAGGAAAGGAATTGAAGCTGGGAGCAGTGGCGCGCATGCCTGTAATCCCAGCTGCTCGGGAGGCTGAAGTGGGAGAATCACTTAAGCCCAGGAATTGGAGGCTATAGTGAGCTTTGGAGGCTGCAGTGAGCTATGATGGTGCCACTGCGCTTCAGCCTGGGTAACAGAGAGAGACAGACTCCATCTCTTAACAACAACAAAAAAAGGGAAATGAACAACTAGAACTATGTCATGCTGAACTAGTTTTAGGAAGTCAACATAATCTATTCCACTAAGATTTACTGAACATCAACTCTGTTTCAGGCATGGTGCTGAATCCTGGGATGTAAGAATAAATAAGACAAAGTTCTCCAGATGCCCAGTCTGGTGGAAAAGCTGATAATACAAACAAGTAATAACAATAAAACAAACATTCCAGAGGAGGATGAAATCTGCGCAAGGTCAAAAGAAGGAAACAAACTCAGACTAGACCTTTCTCAATGGGAAGTCTGCAAGAAAATGAACACTTAATGCCCTAAAGCAACCATTGAAGGTCATGAATTAACTTCTTCCACATCTAGAATGTTAACATTCATGTACCAACCTTGGGAAAACTAAGAAAACAGTCACTCAAATAATCATTGTCTGAGTGAGGTTCAGATGAAGAACCCTGGCAGACAAAGGCTGCAATCAACTAGTGAAATTCCACTCGATACAAAGAAACAAGAATATGGTATCACAGGAAGAGAGATTGTTTGTTATGTTAGGACAAGGCCAAAATATAAATGCCACATCTGGAAAATTCTCAGTCATTTGATGGGGATGCAGGGAGGGGTGAAAGTGAGTGACGAGTGAACCAGAATCTGGTGAAAGGGAGAATAAGAAATTTAGTTTTGAATCAGATCATAAAGCATGCTAAGGACTTCGGAATTCACATTTAGGAAAAAGGAGAACACTTTGTAGATGTGAAGTGATCAGAGTTCTCCTAAAGAACTTCTTTGGATGGTTGAGATCACAAAAGCCAAGACCTAACCCTTTCAGCAGACTATCATATCTACCACTCAGTAAATAGAAAAATAAATATTCTATCCAAATTAGAGCCTGAACTTTATTACATTAAAAAAGTTTCATTAAATAATCAAAGTAAACTTTGTCATTCACATTTCTATCAATAATTAACAGAACTCCAAAAAGATACATTTTTCATATTGTCTGGGTTATCAGGATTTCAAACAATATTTACATTACAGTTTCCACAGGCTTTCAATGAAAAGATAGATACCACAAAGACTGTAAAGGAAAAAAAAAAGATTCCAAAAATAAGTTACTGAATCACTATGCAAAGTTAAAACTTAAGAAGCCCCAAAATCTTTTCTCCCCTACCCCACCCTGCAACCTGTAGTAATCCTTCTCAGACACCAAATACACTAACATCCTCAACCCTCTTCCCTTAAAAACAAAAAATAAAAACAAACAAAACCGCTCGTACAAGATTTGATATTCAACCTTAAAAAGGGAAGAAATTCTGATACATGCTACAAGAGGGAGAACACGATGCTAAGTGAAACAAGCCAGTCACAAAAAGACAAATACTGTACCATTCCATTTTATATGTGGTATCTAGAGTAGCCAAATTCATAGAAACAGAAAGCAGAATGGTGGCTGCCAAGGACTGATGGGAGGAGAAAACCAGGAATTACAGAGTTACTGTTTAAAAGGTATAGAGTTGCAGTTTTGCAAGACGAAAAATTTCTGGAGATTGGTTGTACAACAATATGAATATATTTACCTATAGAATCATACACTTAAAGATGGTTAAGAAGGTAAATTTTATATTACATGTGTTTTACAAAACTTAACAGAAAAGATCAGAAAAATTCATTGAGACCGAAATGGTGAATAACTGAGGATGAGCACATGCCCCAAGAAGATAAAACCAAAAGAATGTTTATTGAAGACTAGGCATTTAGAGTCCTTTCTTCTGTAAGTATTGAACGTTTAGGGGCAAAATGATACAATCAAAATGCTGATTAAGGAAGATTACTGTGTACGCAATATATGAAAATAAATGGAAGTGAGAGCAGAAAATAGGGAGTCAAGTGACAGTTTTAGAAAAATGGAAAGAAACAAGAGAATTAAAAGTTTGAGTTCGAAGAGGAGACTGCGGTTTCTACCATGGGTAAGAGGAAGGATGCAGCCTGCACTCTGCTCCCTTGGGATCATTACTGAGGAATGGCTGAACAAGCAAATAAAGGGGCAACAAACTGTACAAGGTGCAGAATGAGGCCCAGCTTACTGCTCTTCAGTCCCCAGGCCATTCGTCAGAAATCAAAGAATTGTTTTATTTATTTATACCTTTCCTCATCTGGGAAACATTTGAAAAGGTCAGCAAATAACCACTGTTGTGTTACTTGCTGTTGGCCAAGCACAATAGAAGTATTTACACTCCCTGGAAATTTAGCTGCTGTGATAAAGACATGGCTCTCCTTACAAATTATATGATAGATGCAATTCTGAAAGATTTGTAAATGAAATTATAACTCTGGTCATATGCTGAATGTACTAGGTAAGCCCTCTTTACTAAATAGAGCTCTATCTCCTGGAGTCGGTCTTTTTGTAATATAAATCATTTATCTATTTTGTTATATCTTAGTGTGGATTCCTTTGCATTCATCTCTACTGCAGCTTGGGAGGAAGAGTTGCAGTAAGGTTAAAAGAATGCCCTAAATCAGATGCAAATATTGTTTTACTCCATTTTGCGCTGCCGTAATTGAATACCACAGACTAATGTATAAAGAACAAAAGTTTAGGCTGGGCGCGGTGGCTCACGCCTGTAATCCCAACACTTTGGGAGGCCGAGGCAGACGGATCATGAGGTCAAGAGATGAAGACCATCCTGGCCAACATGGTGAAACCTCGTCTCTACTAAAAATACAAAAATTAGCTGGGCATGCTGGCATGCACCTGTAGTCTCAGCTACTCAGGAGGCTGAGGCAGGAGAATTGCTTCAACCCAGGAGGCAGAGGCTGCAGTGAGCCAAGATCGTGCCACTGCACTCCAGCCTGGCGACAGAGCAAGATCTTGTCTAAAAAAAAAAAAAATTAGAAGAGGGAGAAGAATAAGAACAACAACAACAACAGAAGTTTATTTCCTCACACTTCCAGAGACTGGGAAGTACAAGATCAAGGTGCCAACATCTGATGAGGGCCTTCTTGCTGCATTATAACACCGTGAAAGGCATCACACATACGAAACAGAGAGCAAGAAGAGGCCAAACTTGTCCTTTTTTAGGAAACCCACTCACACAACAGTAGCATTAATCCATTCATGACGGCAGTGCCCCCATCGCTGAAACACCTCTTAAAGGTCCCACCTCCAACCCCTCCCTCCACATCAGGGATCAAGTTTCCAACACAATAACTTTGGAGGACACATTCAAACAATAGCATGCATTAAAAAGGCTATTCTCTCTTTACATACCAAAGGAAATGAGACCAGAATTAATTTCAAGTATATTAAGAATGTGAATAAAGTTCAAATATTTATACAACATTATAAAGACAGTTTTTAGATTAAAAAGGCAAGTCTGTCATCCCAGATAATAAAAATCTTTCTATGTCATTTTAGCTATCGAATTCTATTTGTGATAGACATAAGAATAAATCAACTTATGGCAGTTTCCAAGACCTTCATCCACCATTACTGAGTACAATTTAATTCAAGACTCAGTGGAAGAAAAATAATAAATCTGTCCCCAAAAGCATATGTTTGCTGGAAGATGAAAGGATAAAACAGAAGTATACAATCAACTAGAACACAAGAGTTTTGTCATCACGGAACAAAAATGTAACACAGAAAACCAATGAACCCACAATTGGCTCTATGAAACGTCAGTAAAACTGATGTCTTTTCTCCTGAATCAGGAAGAAAGACAACAAAGACAATTAGCAATATCACAAGTGTGAGAGAGAGAGAAAGAGAGAGAGAGAATCACAACGGATCATACAGGCATTAAAGGAACATTAAAGAAATACTATTAACAGCTTCCTATCAACAAATTTGGTGATTTAGATGGAATGAACAAATTTATTGAAAGGTATAAACTGCTGAATGTTGTTTAAAAAGAAACTGAACACTTCTATACTTATTAGAAAAAAAAATCAATTTGTTATTTAAAAACCCTCCCACAAGTGTAAACTAGTTCGACCATTGTGGAAGACAGTGTGGAGATTCCTCAAGGATCTAGAACTAGAATTACCATTTGACCCAGCCATCCCATTACTGGGTATATACCCAAAGGATTATAAATCATGCTACTATAAAGACACATGCACCACACGTGTTTATTGAGGCACTATTCACAATAGCAAAGACTTGGAACCAACCCAAATGTCCATCAATGAGAGACTGGATTAAGAAAATGTGGCACATATACACCATGGAATACTATGCAGCCATAAAAAAGGATGAGTTCATGTCCTTTGTAGGGACATGGATGAAGCTGGAAGCCATCATTCTGAGCAAACTATTGCAAAGACAGAAAACCAAACACTTCATGTTCTCACTCATAGGTGGGAACTGAACAATGAGAACACTTGGACACAGGGTGGGCAACATCACACCCTGGGGCCTGTTGTGGGGTGGGGGGAGGGGGGAGAGATAGCATTAGGAAATATACCTAATGTAAATGATGAGTTAAAGGGTGCAGCACACCAACATGGCACATGCATACATATGTACATATACATATGTACACACAATATGGCACATGTATACATATGTGCATGTTGTGCACATGTACCCTAGAACTTAAAGTATAATAAAATAAAAATAAAAACCCTCCCATAAAAAAAAAAAAAAAAATTTCCAGGCCCAGACAATTTGGAGAAAAAAAAATGCTGCTACACTAACTTTTGTAAAACACAGAAGCAGAAATACCTCCCAAATCATTCTGAGTCAAACATTACCAAGAACAAAACCAGAAAAAGACATTATAAAAAAAGAGAAAACTAGGCCAGGTGTGGTGGCTCACACCTGTAAATCCTAGCACTTTGGCAGGCCAAGGTGTGCGGATCACATGAGGCCAGGAGTTCAAGACCAGCCTGACCAACATGGTGAAACCCCACCTCTACTAAAAATACAAAAATTAGCCAGGCACAGTGGCACATGCCTGTAATCCCAGCTATTGGGGAGGCTAAGGCAGGAGAATCACTTGAACCCGGGAGGCGGAGGTTACAGGTGAGCCGAAATGGTGCCACTGCACTCCAGCCTGGGCAACAGAGTGAGCTCCTGTCTCAAAAAAAAAAAAGAGAGAGAGAGAGAAAAAACTATAGGGGAACAGGTTTCGCAAACATAGGTGTAGAAGTCCTTAAAATATCTGCAAAGTGAACCAAGCTACATATAAAAAGACTCATGGTCAAGAGGGGTACATGCCAGGAAAGAAAAGTTGGTTTAACATTCAAAAACCAATAAACACCATTAACCACGTTAACAAACTCCCCACCAAAAATAAAGGATTGTCTTAATAATGTAAAAAAGGCATTTGACAAAATTCAAGACCCATTTGTGATTAAAAAAAAAAACTGAACAGAAGGAAATGGAACTTATTCAACTTGATAAAGGACACCTCCAAAACTCTAGAGGTAACATCCTATGTAACACTGAGATACTCAATACTTTATCTCTAAGATGAGAAAAAAAGGCTGTTGCTATTTCTAGTCAACATTGTATTAGAGGTTTTAGTGCAATAGGGCAAGAAAAAGAAACAAAAGGCATAGAGATTGGTAAGGATGACAAAAAAGTATCCTTATTCAAAGATTACATAACTGTCAATGTGAAAATTCTTTAAAAACCTACAAAAAAGCTACTAAAACTAGTATGGAGATCTCTCAAAAAAAAAAACTAAAAATAGAACTGCCATATGATCCAGCAATCCCACTAGTAGGTATTCATCCAAAGAAAAAGCAATTAGTTTATCAAAGGGAAGTGTGCACTCCAGTGTTTATTGCAGCAAGCACTATTCACAATAGCAGAGATATGGAATCAATCTAAGTATCCATCAAGGGATGAATGGATGAAGAATATGTGCTATACACAATGGAATTATTAGTACTATTCAGTCATTAAAAAAATGAAATCATGTCATTTGCAGAAACGTGGATGGAACTGGAGGTCATTATGTTAAGTGGCATAAACTAGGCACAGAAAGACAAATATCCCATGTTCTCACTCACATGGGAGTAAAAAAAAAAAAACATTTATCTCATGGAGGTAAAAAATAGAATGATAGGTACCAGAGACAGCTGGGAAGGGTGTCTGTGAGGAGAGAGGGAGATAAAGAGAGGTTGGTTAATGGGTACAAACATACGGTTAGATAGAAGGAATAACTCAAACATACAGTTAGAAGAAGTAAGTTCTAATGTTTGATAGCAGAGTAGGGTTACTATAATTAACAAGAATGTATTGTATATTTCAAAATAGGTCACAAGATACAAGGTCAGTACACACAAATCATGTTTTTATTTCCATATAAAAGCAATTCACAGTTGGAAATATATGTTTTTTAAAACACCATTTATAATAGGATGAAAAATATGAGTTAATTCCAGCACGCCTGAAATTTACCTGAAATGTTTTTGTTGAGGTAAAGGTGTACCTACTTGGCACTAGACCCCTGGGTCAAGTCATGAAATATACTCCTTAATAGTGTTGCTTTGTACTAATACATCCAAGGCAAGTTTTAGGGCAGTTTGTACCAGCTTGTCGGTAATGTTTACTGATAACAGTGAGATTTGCTGATTTGCATCTGGTCTCATTGAAATCTACCAGAGGGCTGTACCACTGGGACTCATTATGTGAAAGAATAAGCCTATTTGGTCAACAGGATATAATGAGTCCCAGCTTTGATTCCATTTTGCACTCCCAGGTTCTGTGCACATATCAGTGGAGTGTCACCTGAGAGAAAAAGGGTGCCTCATGGCCAACAGAGAGAGTAATTAGAGGTCATGCTCAGTCCCTCTAGACCCCTTGCTATTAGGAAGCCTTTGCCTACGACGCATATCTTTAATGCTCTAATCCTGTTGCTGTATTGCATCCTTTTCCTACATCAGGTCATCGATTTCTAGACATTGTCATTTTGGATCTTTTGAGTTTTCTTTAATAATTGAATCCTACTGGCTACCACATAAATTTAACAAACTCTGTACAAGACACATACAATGAAAACAACTAATAAGCACTGCTTTGAAAAACTTTTAAAACCACCCAAATGAATGGAAATATAGGATCAGAAAACAATATTCTCAAGATGCCAACAAATTGATCAATATTAGTAATTCCCCAAGAATTCTAGCAATCTTTTCATAGTAATTAAAGGCTTATTACAAAATATATACGGACGTGAAAAGAACCTAGAATAGCCAGAAAAACTTTGAAAAAAAGACCAAAAGTTAAAGGGCATCCATTGATTTCAAGACTGATTATAAAGCTACAGTAATCAAGAGAATATTGGCATAAGGACAGATAATCAAAGGAATAGGATATACACTCCAGAAAGAGAAATGTATTCATATGAATATGATAAACTTATTTCTAAAGGTACCAAGATAATTGAATGAGGAAAAGACAGTCTTTTCAATAAATGTTGCTAAAACAATCTGATATCTATTTTACAAACAAATGAACTTTGAAACTTCACTCATGCCATATACAAACTTAAAATCAAAATGGATCATATGCCTAAATCCAAGAGCTAAAAATTAGAAAGCGCGCAGAACAAAGGACAAAAACCTTTGTGACCTTGTTAAGGTAAAGTTTTTAAAAGAACATAATGCATATAAACTGTAAAAGAAAACTTGATAAACTGGATTTCCATCAAAATTAAAAACTTTGTGCTTCAAAGGACACCATCAGGCAAGTAAAAAGACAACCCACAGAATCCAAGAACTTTACAATCTATATGATACAGAATTTATACCCAAATATAGTCAAGAATCTTAAAACTAAGTATTAGAAAGATAAACAACCCATTTTTAAATGGAAGATTTGAATAGAAACTTCAAAAATGATATATAAAAGGTAAACGCATGAAGGATGTCAACACCATTAGTCACAGAAATATGCAAATTAAAACACCAATGAGATAAGCCTTTGTAGCCACTCGAATAACTATATTTTTTTAAATGACAATACCAAGAGCTTGCAATGATGAAGAACAACTAGAACTATCATACACTGCTGGCAAAGTCAAATACGCAGTCACAGCCACTTTGAAAAACAGTTTGGTAGTTTCTTAAAAATTTAAACACTAACTATCATATAACTAAATCCCACTCCTATAGCATTTACTCAAAAGAAATGAAAACCTACATCCACAAGACATATACATGAATCTTCATAGCAAGTTTATTTACACTAGCCCAAAACTAGTAGAGAAACAAGGTTTCCATTCTGGAAAAGGCAAAACTATTGGGACAGAAAGCACATTAGCTTTCTGTCAGTTGCCAGGGGCTGAGGATGGTGACAGAACTAAATTGGAAGGTATACAAGAGAACTCTATGAAATGATGAAAATCAACAAAATTTAAATGTGGCAGTATGAAAAAACACCACAAACATTTGTTAAAACTCAATGAATTGTATACTTAAAATTAGTGAATGTATTATACATACCTTATAGCTCACTAAAACTGATTTTAAAAAGAAAAAAGATGCTCTGAATACAAATAATCACTTTGAATACAAATGATCACTTTTCCCCCCATGACTTTCTAATGTAGGCAGGACTTGACAGGGATGGCTCATCTCCATAATCCACACAGCATCAGCTGCGAGGGCAGGGAAACTGAAGGATCCACTTCTCAGATCACCCATTTGGCAGGTACACGGATGCTGGCTGTCAGCTAGAAGCTTAGCAAAGGCTACAGGCTAAGGTATTGGTGGGCTTTTTCCCACAGCATGGTAGCTGTGGCCCCGAAATGAGCATGCCAAGATGTACAGGCAGAAGCCAAGACACTTTTTATGACTCAGTCTAGGAAGTCACACTAGTATCTCTTCCACCATTATCACAAGCCTGTCCATATTCTAGTAGAGGGACACAGACTCCACCTCGTTGTGGGAAGAATATCAAAACCACATTATAAAGTAGAATGTGTGAGATGGGAAATATTTTTCTCGCTATCTTAGTAAAGACAACCAACCACATTGGATTTTTATTCTGTAGATAAATGGGAACCATTAGGGCAATGTGAAGACAACAGGATCTCATCTATATTTTTGGATAACTCCAGAAGCACTGTTGGGGATAAACTAAAAAAGAGACTGAAAGTGTGTGTGGGTGGGAGGTACCTTAAGGTAAATTTTAAGAGTCAAAAAAAAAAACAAAAAGAGAGACCATGAAGTGGCACAAATTCTGTGCACTGAAGTGAAAAACAGCCAGAGACTCTAAGTATGACAGAAATGTCTTGGCCACAAATGCATGCATCTGAGTACACCTACATCCTCTGGAACAAGGTGATGCCATTAAATGAGACAAAGTTCAAGAGGGACATTATATTCTTTTTGGCACATGTTAGTTAAGGGAGAATGCATTTGAAAACAGAAAACGAGAGGAGAAAGCCACAACAGAGAGCATATTTGATACAATTTGTGAAGAAGGGAATCAATTTTGATAAAGAGTTGGCTACAATCCACCTGAGAAAAGGCAATATAGATTATATTTACCTTAAATATTGTTATTTATCTGCACATAAAATGACTGAAAAGTATGCTTTAATACCTCTGCTTCCTTCTTGCCCAAAATATTCTCTTTGTAGTTCATTGGGTTAATAAAACTGCCTATCCAGAGATTTGCCTCTAAAGTGAGGGGGTAGAAACCACTTACATAGTTCTTTTTTAAGTAATGATAGTGAACATACATGAAGTCAAAGAATAAGCGAAATTTTTAAAAACCTTACATCATCTGGAGTAGGGCGGACATCTATGGTTGAATTTCTCACCCTTATTACTTGCTAAAAGAACTGATTTATTTGGTTACCAAATGACCATGTGCTTTAGGGGGGTTAGATTTATAAACCCCTGAGTGGCTCTTAATTGATGTAACTCAGTGTTCCCAATCCTAGCTACTTGCACAATAAAACCACCTGGAAGCTTTTAAAAGACTAATGCCTGGTCCCCCTCCCCAGCTATTCTGATTTAATTGGTTCGGAGTTACAGGGTCTTTTAATCAAGAGGGGACAAGTCTGAGGACAAAAGCCAAATCAATGAGGAACTAAGATTGTCAGAGCAGAAAGATGGATAAAACCTTGATCTTGACAATGTTATTGAGTTAATCGGCCCTAGAATTTCCTTTCATCCAGGTTTCTCATCATGTAAGTAACAAAGTTTTCCTGGTTCTTTAAGCCACCTATGGTCGTGTTTTCTGTTACCTGCAGTGAAAAGCATCCTACATGTTATCCCTGGCAATACAATTTTTGAGATACAAGTTTGGCTTTATAAACAAGAAGTAGAACTTCAGTCATTCTGCTGACAAAGGACAAGCCAATTTTACATGAGCCAGACAAGAATGATGTCACTTTACTGCATATGCAAATAATTTTCCACAACTTATAAAATATGTCTAATTTTGAATATGGACAGATAGGCAGGTATCAGGTACCTACTCAATTGCCTCTCAAGATAGCTGCAGACTTTTCTTTGAAACTGAATGATGCAGAGTATATACAATAATCTTATGCACACATCTTTCACGAGTTTTTAAAGATCTGTTTCCTAGATAGATTAGTCTGAAATAAATAAGGACATTTCCAAAAACCAAAATGAAACAAATAGGTGACGACATCTCCTACTTGTCCCGCTCATCAATTCTATACTTAAACATAGTAAAAGCCACTGCCACCAATCCTCTGCTGCTAGGGCAAACTATTCATCTCTGGCTCTGATTGAAGGTGTGACAAGAACAGGAAGTACCTGATTTAAGGGATTCTGCACCCAGATTCAATTCTAAGTCAATTATTTAGAACTTCCTTTGGTCTCAAAGGAATGAGGACAGCTTGTCACATCAAAATCTAACCTCTGATGCCTGGGCTCACAGACCAGCAGGGGAGTGGGGTGTGTCTCACTCAACAGGGCCAGCCCAGAGAGGGTACGGCCTATCTGCCCCTGCCTGAGAGAGCCCCGGGGACCAGAACATCTAACAAAGGAAATGTGGGCATGGAGCCAGTGACTGGACAGGGCTCCTTCATGGCCTAGGAGTGGACCAGGTGAAGGGGTCATCTCTCTCTCCCACCAACACAGACACTAACTACCAACAGAACCAAAATACAAAAGAACCAAAGTACAAAAGAGTTGTGTGGCTAAGTAAGAGCCTATCTGCTGACCAACATTCTGAAGCACCACCTACTGGATTGCAGCCCAAAATACACCACCAAAACATTTTGCCAGTATACAACACCAGTGAAAACTTTTAAAAATCTAGCTACAGGGCTGGGCTCCATGGCTTACGCCTGTCATCCCAGCAGTTTGGGAGACCAAGGTGGGGGGATCACCTGAGGTCGGGAGTTCGAGACCAGCCTGACCAACATGGAGAAACCCCATCTCTACTAAAAATACAAAAATTAGCCAGGCGTGGTGGCGCATACCTGTAATCCCAGCTTCTCAGGGGGCTGAGGCAGGAGAAATGCTTGAATCTGGGAGATGGAGCTTGCAATGAGCCGAGATCACATCATTGCACTCCAGCCTAGGGAGCAAGAGCAAAACTCCAGCTCAAAAAAGAAAAAAAAAAATCTAGCTACAAATAAAGATTCTGTATAGAGTCATGATCCTCTGTAAACACCCAGAAACAAAGCCAACTAACTATACCCAACTTACATCACATTTAAAGGAACACTAGCCACTAGCCCTCACACACAAGAAAGAATCAGCACAAGAACTCTGGCAACTCAAAAAGCCAGTGTGTTCCCTTATCTCCAAATAAACCCAGAAATGGTTCTTAACCAGATTTAGATGTATGAAATGACAGACAAAGAATTCAGAATCTGGATGGCAAGGAAGCGCATCAAGATGCAGGAGAAAGTTGAAACCCAATCCAAGGAATACAGTAAAACAATCCAGAAGCTTGAAAGACAAAATAGCCATTTTAAGAACCAAACTGAGCTTCTGGAAGGGAAAAATTTACTTCAAGAATTTCATAATACAATCAAAAGTATTTTTTTTTGAGATGGAGTTTTGCTCTTGTTGCCCAGGCTGGAGTGCAATGGCACGATCTCCGCTCACCGCAGCCTCCACCTCCCAGGTTCAAGCAATTCTCCTGCCTCAGCCTCCCAAGTAGCTGAGATTACAGGCATGCACCACCACGCCCAGCTAACTTTGTATTTTTAGTAGAGACGGGGTTTCTCCATGGTGAAGCTAGTCTTGAACTCCTGACCTCCAGGTGATCCGCCCACCTCAGCCTCCCAAAGTGCTGGGATTACAGGTGTGAGCCATCGCACCCAGCCCCTTACAATCAAAAGTATTAACAGCAGAATAGAGCATGCTGAGGAAAGAATCTCAGAGCTTGAGGACCAATTTCTCAAATCAACCCAGACAAAAATAAAAAAGAATTAAAAATTAAAAAAAACACCACTGAGTAATATGGGATTATGTGAAGAGACCATGTTTACAGCTCATTGGCATTCTTGAGAGAGAAGGAGAGAGTGTAAGCAACTTGGAAAATGTATTTGAGAATATACTCTACGAAAATCTCCCGAATCCTGCTAGAGGAAGACATATAAATTCAGAAAAAACAGAGAACCCACGCGAGATACTATACAACATGACCATTCCAAGGCACATAGTCATCAGATTCTCCACGGTCAATGCAAAAGAAAAAAACCTGAAAGGCAGCTAGAGAGAAAGGTCAGGTCACCTGCAGAGGGAACGCCATCAGTTTAGCAGCAGACCTCTTAGAAGAAACCTTACAAGCCAGAAGAGATTGGAGGTCTATTTTCAGCATTCTTAAAGAAAATAAATTACAGCCAAGAACCTCATATCCCACCAATCTAAGCTTTGTAAGTGAAGGCAAAATAAAATGCTTCTCAGACAGGTAAGCAGTGAGGGAATTCATTACCACACCAGCCTTACAAGAGGTCCTAAAGGGAGTGCTAAACATTGAAATAAAAGTTTAAAACCTGCTACCACTAAAACACACTCAAGCACAATAGCTCACAGACAATATAAAGCAATTGCACAACCAACTCTACAAAGCAAACAGCCAACAACATAAAGACAGGATCAAAATCTCATATATCGTACTAATCCTGAATGTAAATGTTCTAAATCTCCCCACTTAAAAGGCATAGAATGGCAAGATGGATAAAAAGGCAAGACCCAACTGTCTGGTGCCTTCAATAGATGGATCTCACATGTAATGACACAAACAGGCTGAAAGTAAAAATAAAGACCTATCATGCAAATGGAAAATAAAGAGCAGGAGTAGCTAGTCCTGTATCAGATAAAACAGACTTTAAACCAATAACAATCAGGGAGAACGAAGAAGGGCATTACATAATGATAAAGTGTTCTATTCAACAAGAAGACTTAACTATCCTAAACATATACACACCCAACACTGGAGCACCCAGATCCATAAAACAAGTTCTTCCTGACCTACGAAAACACTTACACCGCCATTATTACACAATAGTAGTGGGAGAGTTCAACACCACACTGACAGCATTAGACAGATCACTGAAGCAGAGAACTAACAAATTCTGGACTTAAACTCGATACTTGAACAACTGAACCTAATAAACATCTACAGAATACTCCACCTAACAACCATAGAATATACATTGTTCTCAGGTGCACATGTAACATATTCAAAGATCAACCACATGCTGAGTCTTAAAGCAAGTTTCAGTAAATTCAAAAAAAAAATTGAAATAATTCCAAACACACTCTCAGACCACGGTGCAATAAAAACAGAAATTGATAAAGAAGATTTCTCAAAAATAACACAAAAACATAGAAATTAAACAACCTGCTTCTGAATGAACCATTGTTCATTATATGAACAATGAAATCAGGACAGAAATAAAAATTCTTTGCAATTAACAAAAGCAGAGACACAACTTATAAAAATCTTTGGGAGGCAGCTAAAGTGATGTTAAGAGGAAAGTTTATAGCACTAAATGCCTTCATCAAGAGGTCGGAAAGATCTCAAGAATCTAACATCACACCTAGAGGAACTAAAAAACAAAACAAAACAAAAATTCAACTCTAAAGCTGGTAGAAGAAATAATTAAAATCAAATAAGAATTGAATAAAATTGAGACACAATTAACAACAACAAAAAACAGAAGATCCAAATAAGCACAATCGGAAGTGACAAAGATATTACAACCTATCCCACAGAAATATAAAAGATTGGAGACGATTATGAACACCTTTACATACACAAATTAGAAAATCTAGAGGAAATGGATAAGTTCCTGGAAACACAAAACCTCAAGATTGAACCAGGAAGAAAGTACAACTTTCAAGTTCAGAAATTGAATCACTGATTAAAAATCCACCAAACCAAAAGAGCTCCAGACGAGAGGGATTCACACCCGAATTCTATCAGATGTACAAAAAGGAAGTGATATCAGTACTACTGAATCTATTCCAAGAAAATCAAGGAGGAAGGGCTTCTCCTTAACTCATTCTATGAACCCAGCATCATCTTGATACCAAAATCTAGCAGACATACAACAACAACAACAATAACAACAACAACAAAAAAGCTTCGGGCCAATATTTCTCATGAACATAGAAGCAAAAATCCTCAACGAAATACCAGCAAACCAAATCTAACAGCACATCAAAAAGTTCACTCACCACAATAAAACAGGCTTTATTCCTGGGATGTAAGGTTGGTTGAACATACACAAATCAATAAATGTGATTCGCCATGTAAACAGAATCAAAAGCAAAAATCATATGATCATTTCAATAGAGGCAGAAAATTTACCTTTTGATAAAATCCAACATCCATTTGTGATGACATTACCCAACTTCAAACAATACTGTAAGGCTACAGTGATCAAAACAGCATGGTACTGGTACAAAAGAGACATATAGACCAATGGAACAGAACAGAGAACCCAGAAATAAACCCACACACCTACAACCATCAGATTTTCAACAAAATTGACAAGAATAAACAATGGGGAAAGGGCTCCTTATTCAATAAATGATACCAGAGTAACTGGCTAGCCATATGCAGAAGAATGAAACTGGACCCTTCCTCTCATTGTATACAAAAATTAACTCAAGATGGATTACTGATTTAAATGTAAGACCTCAAACTATAAAAATCCTAGAAGATAACCTAGAAAATACCCTGCTTGACACTGGCTTTGGCAAATAATTTGTGGCTAAGTCCCCATAAGCAATTGTAACAAAAACAAAAATTGATAAACGGGACCTAATTAAACGAAAGAGCTTCTGCACACCAAAAGAAATTCCCAACAGAGTAAACAGCCTACAGAATCGGAGAAAAAATATTTGCAATTATTTTGACATTTGACAAAAGTCTAATATCCAGAATCTGCAAGGAACTTAAAACGACAAGCAAAAAACAAACAATATAATTTAAAAATGGGCAAAGAGCTACTCTGGAGGCTAAGGCAGGAGGATCACTTAAGCCCAGGACATCAAGGCTGCAGTGAGCTGAGATCACACTGGGCAACAAAGCAAGACCTTGTC
Organism: Homo sapiens; assembly: GCF_000001405.40. Classification (NCBI taxonomy): domain Eukaryota; kingdom Metazoa; phylum Chordata; class Mammalia; order Primates; family Hominidae; genus Homo; species Homo sapiens. Next base: position 108,784,418 of record NC_000011.10, on the reverse strand, counting down.
TCAAAAACAAGCGGGTGTTCAGGAGGGCAAAGAAAATGTAAATCAAAACCACAAAGAGATACCATCTCACACCAATCACAATGGAGGTTACTAAAAAAGTCAAAAAAATAAAAGATGTTACAGAGTCTTCCAAGAAAAGGGAATGCTGTTTGTAGGAAGGCAAACTAGTTTAGCCACTTTGGAAAGCAGTTTGGAGATATCTCAAAGAACTTAAAACAGAACTACCATTCAGCCCAGCAATCCCACTATTGGGTATATAACCAAAGGAAAATAATTTACAGTATCAAAAACATATATGTACTTGTATATTCAATGTTGTGTTATTCACAATAGTAAAAATATGGAGTCAACCTAGGTGCCCTTCAATGATGAACTGGATAAATAAAATGTGGAACATATACACTACAGAATACTACGCAGCCTTAGGCTGTCCTTTGCTGCAACATGGATAGAGCTGGAGGCCGTTATCCTAAGCGAATTTATGCAAGAACAGAAAACAAAATGTGGCATATTCTTACTTCTAAATGGGAATGGAAACGTTGAATACACACAGACATAACGATGAGAACAATAGACACTGGGGACTACTAAATGCGGGAGAGAGGAAAAGGGGCGTGCACTTATTGGGTACTATGCTCACTATCTGACAGGATCATTTGTACCCCAAGCCTCAGACATGCAATACAGCCATGTAACAAACCTGCACATGTACCCTTTAATCTATAATAAAAGTTGAAAGTATAAAAAATAAAAATAAGCATGGTTAAGATTGCTATTAAAAAGCTCATCTTTCTCCCATACTCTGGATTTAACCCCTCCCACATCCTCCTGAACCCTACTCTCTTCAAGGGCTTCTTCACTTAGGCTATAAAACATGTTCATATCTCCCAGTTTGTACATCCAAAAGACTGCACCATATACATATTCCTGTCCTGCCAGCTACAAGCCTCCACTATCCACCTTCCTGCCTTTTACAGCCAGCCTTCTTGAACTGTGGCCCACTCATCCTCTCCTCTATTCCTTTATCAACGCTCTTCAATATAGCTCTCCACCTCTACCACTTGAATAAAACCTTCTGGTAAAGATTACCAATTATTCCCTCATTGCTAAAACTAATGGCCCATTTTAAGTCTTCATATTTCTTTCTTGATTACTTTTAAGCTTCCATTAAAGCTAAATTCTACATTAGGCACTTGATGTATAAAGATGACTGAAACAGTCTCATATCTTTAAAAAGCTCACAGTCTAATAGAAGAAATAGTCACAGAAACAATTCTAATATTTTGGTAAGTTCAGTAATAGACACCTATACATGACAAAGAGAAATCATAGTGAGTGGGCACTAGGAAACGGATTCAAAGAGGCGATGAATAATCTGAGTTTTACAGGTTTAACAGGAAGGCATAACATTGTAAGCAAAGAAAGAAAAGATATTCCAGACAAAGCATATGTGGGTGAAGAATAGAGAAATGACCTAAACTCAGACCATGTCAGTGAGCACTGAGGGGAGTGGAAGGATTGCAGAGAAGTTAACCTGTCAAGCCTAACTTGATACCACTGACTACTCTTTCGTGATTTGGTCTCTCTGACTTTCCTCCTACCCTTCTTTCTTATTGGATTCTATGTATACTCCCAAGAGTCTTGCTCCCAATCCTCCTCACACTCTAAATACTCTTGATTTGATTGAAGCTTACTACTGGTTAGTCATTTGGTAGACACTGCAAACAGGGTCACTATAAAGGGAAGATAAAAAGGAACATATTCATTTGTGGAATGAATATGATAGTACCTGTGAGTAAAAAAAAAATATTTACTTCTCTCCACAGGATATGCCAAGCTAATTGCTAAGTATTACACAAATTAACATTAAAAAACAGCAGCTATAAGGATATGGTAGATGAGTATTGTCTAAGGTGCATTCCAACAGATTAATAAAATGTACTGAACAGAAGCATGCAGAAAGGGATCTCGGAGAAATGAGAACGCAGACTCTAAAGTGATGAAGAAATAGTCTAGAATTTAACTGCAGCTGAGGAAAACCTATCATAGGGATTCTAACCATACCCAGAGATATTCAAGGATGATAGCTAAATGAATTGATAGAAGAAATTGAGGCTGTGTTTTCTCTGAAGAATACAGGGTCCTCCATTTCCAAATTCAGTTCTGAAAATATTCTGCAGAACTGCCTGTGGGAACTACAATTCCTAAGCAGAAACCTAAGAAAAGAGATGGTTTCTAAGGTAACCAAGGCCTATACCATATACAGTCTGACATATCAAAGTCATCACCTGAGCTTGTCAGAAATTAATTGGAAGAACAGATACGTTACATCTGTGCCCTAGGGCTGCAAGCCTTTAAACAAATGAACACCATGTTCTGCATTAGCTGAATTTGCAAGTAGCCTCCTCAAGGAGAAAATTTACTTCTGTGGAGGTCAGAGGGGAGTATCCCAGAAGAATCTCTTCTGACGGCTGTGCTCTTAACTCCCAATGGCCAAAGGAAACAAAGTCCTTACTGATAATATTACAGAAGAAGCATTTTTAACACCTTTAAAGAGAAATTAAAAATAGAGCAATTCAGTTGTCCTATTCATTATCTCGCTAATTTTATTTCTACCAGAAAAAAAAAACAAAACCAAGACTGCAAATTGTTCATCCAAGAAAGGAAACAAACAATGGGGGTGAGAGGGCGATTCTTTGGTTTACAGTTTTAACTACACTTTTTAGAACCTCTGATAACCAAAGCTCAGCCTTTTAGTTTCTCTTTTAAAAAGGCATTTCAACTATTAATTGGTAGAACGATTTTGAAAAACAAAACAAAATCTCTTTCTTTTTACCTTCTGTGGTAAGAAGAGAGAAAGGAAGGGGTTGATAGGAATGGAGATAATCCCTCCATATAGTTCAGTATTATGAATACTATTTGGCATATACCACAAACAATTATGTTATGAAACAACTGTATAAGAGCTACCATTCAACCCAGCAATCCCATTACTGGGTTCATACCCAGAGGAAAATAGATCATTATACCAAAAAGACACATGCACTCACATGTTCAATGCCATGCTATTCATGAAAGCAAAGACATGAAATCAACCTAGGTCCCCATCAATGGTGTACTGGATAAAGAAAATATGGCACATATACACCATGAAATACAATACAACCATAAAAAAGAGTGAAATCATGTCCTTTACAGCAACATGGGTGGAGCTGGTGGCCATAAGCCTAAATGAATTAACACAGGAACAGAAAACCAAATGCCACATGTTCTCACTTATAAGTGGGAGCTAAACACTGAGCACACATGGACATAAATGGGAATAAGAGACACTGCAGACTACTAGAAAGGGGAAGGAGTGAAAAGGGTGTGGATTGAAAAACCACCTCTTGGGTACTATGCTCACTACAAGGTCCAATACATCCATGTAGCAATCATATACATGTATCCCCTGTATCTAAAATAAAAGCTGAAATTAAAAAAAGAAAAACTACTGCATAAAGTTTTTTCATTTAGTCCAATTCCACTAAACGAGCTTGTTTATAAGTGAATCAGCTGTCACCACATTGTAAGCTGCATTTAAAATTCATTCCTCTTGAGAATTTCATTTAATAGGCTTATGTAAATTAAGTACCTTTATTTACTATCCCATCCAAATAAAAAGAGCAAGTTGTCAATAACAGAAACATTTTCCAACAATATAACCTAAGCATCTACATTAATAAAGTGCTTGAGTAGAATACTGAGAAAGTATTATTTCAATGTGTTGTTATAAAATAGCATCCTTTGGGACACAAAGACAAGTATATTTATAGAGGATGTGGTACACTAGGAAAATCACAATCCAATTAGCACTGGATAAGGATCTCCAGTATAAAATTCTTAGAACTCTGGATTATTCAAATGACAGCTAAACTGGAAACAAACCAAGCAAAGATGTTTTCTGGCCTAAACAGACAGACTAGACCTATAGGGAAGCACAGAGAAGAAAAAAAGTCCAAAAACCACCCCTCTTAAAGTCATCTCAAAAGGATTTCCTTTAGATGTGCAAACTCAAGAGAAAAGAATAATTATATATCTTTTGGAGCTCTGACTCAACAACTGATATGTAAATATTAAACTCTGTTCCTTCCTCTTTAACTTCAGCCACCCTGTCCTGTGCTCTATTCATACTCATCTCTGTTTCATTAGTTATTCAGAAGATCTATTCAAAGAAAGCAACCCAACCATAAATTGGCATTTTATTTTTGGAAAGCAAGGTGGCAAAACACATCGATAGCTATGGTCCTTATCTTCATCTCCTCATCTACCATTAAATGTCCATCTCTTTGCCAATGCTTTCTAAAAACTTTATAGTTTAATCCTTGATCAACCATTAAGGATAGATTTTCTTATCCTTTCCCATAAGGAGAAAATGAGGCTAAAATAGGTTAACTTGCCACAGTCTCACGGACAGTTAAGTAGCATAACGGAAGGTAAAATACTAACTCATCTCACTCCAAAGGTTTTGTTATTTCCTCTAATCCCTTTAACCCAGGAATTTTGCTCCAGTTTACCTCCAAGTAAATAAAACAACAGAGCCAAAAAACAGACTCTCAAGGATCTCTCTGCAACTTTTTTGCAGCGAAATTCAGAAACAACCCAACAGCTAAGATTAGGAAAATGGTACTCCAAAACAATGAAATGTTATGCAACTAACATGAAGCCCATGTAAATAATTTTATTTATTTTTATTATTTTTTATTTTTTTATTTTACTTTAAGTTCTAGGGTACATGTGCACAACGTGCAGGTTTGTTACATATGTATACATGTGCCACGTTGGTGTGCTGCATTTACATTAGGTATATCTCCTAATGCTATCCTTCCCCCTCCCACCACCCCCGGCAGGCCCCAGTGTGTGATGTTCCCCACCCTGTGTCCATGTGTTCTCATTGTTCAATTCCCACCTATGAGTGAGAACATGTGGTGTTTGGTTTTCTGTCCTCGTGATATCTGCTCAGAATTATGGTTTCCGGCTTCATCCATGTCCCTGCAAAGGACATGAACTCATCCTTTTTTATGGCTGCATAGTATTCCATAGGGTATATGTGCCACATTTTCTTAATCCAGTTTATCATTGATAGACATTTGGGTTGGGTCCAAGTCTTTGCTATTGTGAATAGTGCTGCAATAAACATACGTGTGCATGTGTCTTTATAGCAGCATGATTTATAATCCTTTGGGTATATGCCCAGTAGTGGGATGGCTGGGTCAAATGGTATTTCTAGTTCTAGATCCCTGAGGAATCACCACACTGTCTTCCACAATGGTTGAACTAGTTTACAGTCCCACCAACAGTGTAAAAGGGTTCCTATTTCTCCACATTCTCTCCAGCACCTGTTGTTTCCTGACTTTTTAATGATTGCCATTCTAACTGGTGTGAGATGGTATCCCATTGTGGTTTTGATTTGCATTTCTCTGATGGCCAGTGATGATGAGCATTTTTTCATGTGTCTGTTGGCTGCATAAATGTCTTCTTTTGAGAAGTGTCTGTTCATATCCTTTGCCCATTTTTTGATGGGGTTGACTTTTTCTTGTAAATTTGAGTTCTTTGTAGATTCTGGATATTAGCCCTTTGTCAGATGGGTAGATTGTAAAAACTTTCTCCCATTCTGTAGGTTGCCTGTTCACTCTGATGGTAGTTTATTTTGCTATGCAGAAGCTCTTTAGTTTAATTAGATCCCATTTGTCAATTTTGGCATTTGTTGCCATTGCTTTTGGTGTTTTAGTCATGAAGTCCTTGCCCATGCCTATGGCCTGAACAGTATTGCCTAGGTTTTCTTCTAGGGTTTTTATGGTTTTAGGTCTAATATTTAAGTCTTTAATCCATCTTGAATTAATTTTTGTATAAGGTGTAAGGAAGGGATCCAGTTTCAGCTTTCTACATATGGCTAGCCAGTTTTCCCAGCACCATTTATTAAATAGAGAATCCTTTCCCCATTGCTTGTTTTTGTCAGGTTTGTCAAAGATCAGATGGTTGTAGATGTGTGGTATTATTTCCAAGGGCTCTGTTCTGTTCCATTGGTCTATATCTCTGTTTTGGTACCAGTACCATGCTGTTTTGGTTACTGTAGCCTTGTAGTATAGTTTGAAGTCAGGTAGCGTGATGCCTCCAGCTTTGTTCTTTTGGCTTAGGATTGTCTTGGCAATGCAGGCTCTTTTTTGGTTCCATATGAACTTTAAAGTAGTTTTTTCCAATTCTGTGAAGAAAGTCATTGGAGCTTGATGGGGATGGCACTGAATCTATAAATTACCTTGGGCAGTATGGCCATCTTCACAATATTGACTCTTCCTATCCATGAGCATGCAATGTTCTTCCATGTGTTTGTGTCCTCTTTTATTTTGCTGAGCAGTGGTTTGTAGTTCTCCTTGAAGAGGTCCTTCGCATCCCTTGTAAGTTGGATTCCTAGGTATTTTATTCTCTTTGAAGCAATTATGAATGGGAGTTCACTCATGATTTGGCTCTCTGTTTGTCTGTTATTGGTGTATAGGAATGCTTGTGATTTTTGCACACTGATTTTGTATCCTGACACTTTCCTGAAGTTGCTTATCAGCTTAAGGAGATTTTGGGCTGAGACGATGAGGTTTTCTAAACATACAATCATGTCATCCGCAAACAGGGACAATTTGACTTCCTCCTTTCCTAACTGAATACCCTTTATTTCTTTCTCTTGCCTGATTGCCCTGGCCAGAACTTCCAACACTATGTTGAATAGGAGTGGTGTAAATAATTTTAAAGTGAAAAAGGAACCCTTGGCCAGACATGGTGGCTCACACCTGTAATCCCAGCACTTCAGGAGGCTGAAGTGGGTGGATCACCTGAAGTCAGGAGTTCGAGACCAGCCTGGCCAACATGGTGAAACCCCTTCTCTACTAAAAACACAAAACTTATCCAGATGCAGTGGCACGCGCCTGTAATCCCAGCTACTCGGGAAGCTGGGATTCGCTTGAATCCAGGAGGCAGAGGTTGCAGTGAGCTGAGATGGTGCCACTGCACTCCAGCCTGAGTGACAGAGCAAGACTCTATCTCAAAAGAAAAGAAAAAGAAAGAAAGAAAGAGAAAAGAAAAAGAAAAAAGAACCCTCAAATTACGTGGAGACTGAGTTCTAGCTCCAGTAATGGCAGGATAATTTATATCAAACATTCTCATAGCAACAATTACAAATCCAACAAAGAATATATAAATCTACTATTTGAAGGACTACAGAATAAGCAAAATCAGGCAGAAACTGAAGGACAGCCTTAGGAAAGAAGGAAATCATGCTGCAGGAAATCCCTGTTGTGTTAGTTTTCTGTTGCTGCATAACAAATTACCACAAACCTGGCCACTTAATATCCACTTATTCACTCACAATTCCATAAGTCAGAAAGCTGGCACAGCATGGCCAAGTTCTGTGCTCAGGGTTATCACAAGTCTGAAATCAAAATGTCAGCTGGGCCAAGTCCCCACCTGGAAGCTCTGGAGAAAACTTGACTTCCAAGCTCATTCAGGTTGTTGGCAAAATTTACTTCCTTTCCGGTTGTAGGACTGAAGTCCCCATTTTCTTGCTGGCTGTCAGCCAGGGACTTCTCTCAGTTTCTTTAGACCACCTTCTCACAAAGTCTCCATCTATAACCCAGCAACAACATGCCAAATCTTCCTTATGCCTCAAATTTGAGCTCCTCTTCTGCCACCAGCCACAGAAAACCCTCGGAGTTTTTAAAGGATCTCACGTGAGTATTGGGCCCACCAAAATAATCCCCCATCTTAATGTCAACTAATAATTTAACATACTCATGGGAATAATATTATATTTATTGGTGCCAAAGATTAGGATATGGAATCTCGAGGGGCCGTTCTTGGAATTCTATGTACTGTACCCACTTTTTCCCTGAGGTCACTGCCATTCTACTTGGCTTGGACTGCTAGCACTGAAACAGAAAGCCACTATCTATTAGTCTAAGGAGTCAGAACATGCACCACAGGCCCAGAAAATCTAGAAATTAAGAATCCCAAAACAGAGTGAGCCACAGAAAGGGTACCTCAGATATCTGTATAATCCTCCACAAATTCTTGGCTGACAGCTGAAATGCACGTGCAAGTGGCAAAACTCCAAGGAGCTCAGATAGAAATAACAGTTCGAAGAAAGAACAGAAAAGAGATTTTAGCTGACCCTCGCTGAAAGGAAGACAAAGTTTGGAGTCTGAGTTCCACCAAATTAGAAGAGCTTTGATGGCACTTTGGATTTTCCACTGAAATCCCAGAAAGGTTCCAGGACTGAAGAGTGTTTCTCAAAACTAAGGGTGAAACCACAACAGATATGGAAATAACCCAAATGTCCATATACAAGTGAACAGCTAAACATATTGCTGTATATTCAAACAACAAGATACAACACAGCATCAAAAATGAAGTACCTACTGATACGTCCAACATAATGAATTTTTTAAACACTGTGTTGAACTAAAAAAACCACACATAAAAATAATACATGCTGTACGATTATACGAAGTTATTAAACAGGCAAAGCTAAGCCATGGTAAATGAAATAATAGTCACGTAGAAGGACATGGGGCTGGAAAGGGCACAGGGTCTTGCTTAAAATATGTGGCTATATTGCATGTAAAGTATGCCTCAAAATGTAAAAAAGAAAAATTTAACTTATTGTACTAAAACTAAAAATATGCAGATTTATATTGAGAAAGTAACAAAAACAAAAATAGAGAATAAGTATCTGAAGTCACATTTTTTAATATCATAGCTATATCTAAATTTTAAATAGTATTTAGGAAGCAAAGTGAGAAAGTCAATGCATTCCCTGTTCTCACATGCTACCTGAGCTAACCAGCATAGTTAGGCATTGCTTTGAGATGATGCAATTAATCAAACAGACACATAGGTCTCCATAACTTGACTCAGATACCAAGGCTTAGCATAAATTCTTCCTTTCCACTCTTTTCAGTTAGCTCATCACCAACTCCCAAATTGAACAGACGGGTATATCACTCATTTTTTTTTAATACATTCACTCAATTGTCAAATAACTGTGTGTTTCCTTGTGAAGGTCAAAGTCTTCATAGATCTTTCTGTCAATGTAAACCTGACACATTTAAAAAGTCAGTATGCAGAGCAAAATCTATTTGAGATTAACATTTTTTCAATTCAATTTAATTTCCCATGACAAGTCATCCTGATATTCACAATGTTTCCTTCATTTCACTAATGAGCTAAAGACAGCTTTCACATTTATTTCACTTCTTTCAGAATAGGATGCATTTGGCAATACCAACCATTTAAATAAGCAAATGTATAATTCTGAATAGGTTTTGAAAACGTTTCACCGTGGTCTCTGTCACTCATAGACCTAGTTGGTAGTGTTTCCTTTCAACAAGTGCACAGACTGGTAAGAAAAGTTGTTACAAATTACCAAAGGTCAATATGCTGCCGGCCACCCAGTCATATAAATTGATATGTCTTCTTGTTCCAGCAAGTTAGAAGCTCAGTAAGGGCAGAGACAGGAATCTCTTAACAATGAGCAGTATGTGATTTTCACTGGAGAGGAGAGAGGCTGCATGTGTGCCCAAATCCATCCTCAAAGCATACCGGAGAACGGTATGAAACAGCATATTTAACAGCCTATATTTCTCCATCATACAAACTATAAAAAATACAGCTGAAAAGTCTTCTTGGCTGGAGAAAACACAGAATACAGCATAAGAAAGACTATAGGGTTAAAAGGTTTTTATCCCTTTTAACCCTATAGTTTGGAGGGGATAAAAGAAATGCCAAACAATGTTCTCTAACGTAATCAAGTACAGATTCCAGGAATTGCAAGGAAAAAAAAACAATACCTCAGGTATGTTTCAAAACCAAGGGCTAAATCAAGGCAGATATTTCCAGCTAAAAATAATGTATTGAGTATACCCAACTCTGCTTCCTCCAGCAAGCGATAAATTTTAAAACATGCAAGAAATAATTTAAGCATAAGCCTCCAAGGACAAAAAGATAACAGCAAACAGATGTTAACAAAATGGTATACTGTGTTAAAAGGACGAACAATGGTAAACAACTCAGCAGTGTAAAGAAAATTGCAACCTAAGTGCCTGCAAAGGGCAATGCCCACAAGATGCCAGCCTAGTCACACGGCCAATGAACAAATGATTCTCACTTCCCAAGGTACAATAAACCAAGGCAAAACGTATTTCCTTATTATATACAGAATACAGCAACAATTCAGTTATTCCACATTTCCTACTGGTAACAAGTAAGACAACAAGCCTGATTTCTCTTTCTGGTTGTCCACTGCTTACACAGTACTAGCTTAGGAATAATTTGCTTTTTTTGTTGAAGTTTGTCATAAGAGCACTTTGCTCTAGTCACCAAGTGATTTCATGTATGCAGCCTTGAAGCTATGACACACTCTCTAGCTCACCATTCTTTGTGTCTCTGGGAACCAGTACTTCCTATCTCATCTAATACAAGCAAGACATCTTCTTTTATGCTTCTCTGGGCCCGATATTCACCCTCCTACTAGCAGTTCAAGGGCTGGGTCTCCCTTCTCAGCACTATGGTACACTCCAAAGCAATTAAATGAGTTTTTTTAAAACATTAGTAAGTTTTATGTTCCTTTTTATAGGGAACTCTAAGATGCAAATTAAATGCCCTTACTATATTTTGTCCTCAATTTGGCTGTAAATAGACTAATGCCAACCCTTAAGTATCTGTGGAAATCAATATTTATCAATACAGTTGTGCAATGATAGAATCAGATTCCAGGAAGAGCTGACAACTAGATAACTAAGTGAAAAGTGCATTTATGCATTTGAGTATGTGTGCATGTGCACACATCTGTACACACAGTTGGAAGCAGAAAAGGGAGAGAAAAGGCTCATGGATCTCCTAGACATCATTTGGTAGAAGAATAGAACAATAAATAAAAAAATTTATTATTTCCAAGAGAGAACCATGGCAGTTAAAGAACACAGGTAGATAGGGAGACTTCACCAAAAGACAAGACATCAACAGTAAGTGCAGCTACCTTGACAGGTAAATCTCTAAAATCAATAGCCAATTGTCTAAGTAAGCAGAAAACAAAGTTAGGGTTGAGTTTGCTTTCTGTCACTTAAAAGATTTACTCTTACATGTAGATTTCACTCAAATGATGAGAGAAACCATTCTTACTCCTCACTTATGCCAGTATCGTAAGTTCATAACAATAAGTAACAAGCTCTAATTCAACAAATATCATATGTATTAATAAAAGGAACTCTGCTACATTTTATATCTGAGTTGGCAGTGAGAAAGTAGTTACTATATCCTGTACTCCAGAGTCTCAAAGAAGAAAGTTCTTCACTTTCTATTCAGGTTCTTCAAATACCCTTTCCAGAAGTCTGCATGGTCAAAACTATGTTCACAATAATACCGAAATTTTACCATACTGACATTTTCAGTTATGATACAAAAGCAATCGTGGGTTAAACTACTGGTACCTTACCAACAATGCCCAACCTTTTTGGCACGAGGGACTATTCTTGTGGAAGACAATTTTTCCACTGACAGGGGATGGTCAGATTCTCATAAGGATGTGCAACCTAGATCCCTCACATGTGCAGTTCACAATAGGGATCGAGCGCCTATGAGAATCTAATGCCGCTGCTGATATGACAAGAGACGGAGCTCAGGCGGTAATGCCCGCTCACCCGCCTGGCCGCTCACCTTCTGCTGTGTGGCCTGGTTCCTAACAGGCCACAGACCGGTAGGCTGCAAATTCCCACAAACTTCATGGCCTTTCGACGGCATTTATTTTAAGTTCTAGAAGCCAGAAGCCCAAAATCCAAGTGTTGCTAACAAAGCCACAGTCCTTGCCAATGGCTACTAGGGGAGAACCAATTCTTTCCCTCTTTCAGCTTTTGGTGGCTCCAGACATTCCTTGGTTTGTAGCCACATCACTTCAATCTCTGCCACCATGATCACACTGCCTCCTCCTCTTCTTCTGCGTCTTCTCCCCTTCTGTCTCTGTCTTCCCTGTGTGTCTCTCTCCCATCATGACACTTGTCATTAGGTTTAGAGCCTGCCTAATCTAATCCAAAATTATCTCCTTATCTCAAGATTTTTAATTATATCTGCAATGACCCTTTTTCCAATTAAGGTAATATTCGTAGGTTGTGATAATTAGGTCATGGGTGTATCTCTTGCAGGAGACATTATTCATCTCACGACTAGTCTTTTTAATATTTTGTGTGACCACGTGACAACTACGCATAAAGCACTTCTGCTGCATAGTGAAGTTTAATAGTTACCTTGAGGAAAAACACTTGTGAGGTTGAGTCACAAGATCAACTACAACCTTTTTGCATGGGCACCATCTTTACATGCAAGAACAATGGACAAACTACAAGCTAAAAACAGCCTAAAAGCTACAAAACCAGTACCGTTAGCAGAGCCCTGATGTTGCTAAGACCTGACCCTCACAGCAAAGACTTGATGTCCTCCTGTTAGAAGAACATCAACATCAGACAAGACTACTGACCATGATGGATCAAGACAAAAACAAGCAAACATATCAACATTGTCCAAAAAACAAAAATAACCAAATATCTACCTTTCCTTGCTAACAAGAACGACTACAACTTCTTTACCAATTAAAGCTATAGCCTCCATTTATTCCTTTCTCCTGAAATACAACACTCATTTAGATAAACAATAAGAGACCATCCCACTGACCCCACAACATCTAATCCAGAACCAAGTCTCCTTCTCATAACCCTCCATCAAGTTAAAAAGCTTCTGCACAGTGAGACTGAGGCGGACGGATCACGAGGTCAGGAGATCGAGACCATCCTGGCTAACACAGTGAAACCCTGTCTCTATTAAAGATACAAAAAAATTAGCTGGACGTGGTGGCAGGCGCCTGTAGTCCCAGCTACTTGGGAGGCTGACGCAGGAGAATGGCGTGGCTTTCCATGAGTCGAGATCATGCCACTGCACTCCAGCCTGGGTGACAGAGTGAGACTCCATCTCAAAAAAAAGAAAAAAAGAAAAAAAAGAAAAAACTTCTGCACAGCAAAGGAAACAATCAATAAAGTAAAGAGACACCCCCACAGAATGAGAGAAAATATTGGCAAACTACCCATCTGACAAAGGATTAATAACCAGAATATAGACGGAGCTGAAAGAACTCTATAGGAAAAAAATCTAATAATCTGATCAAAATATGAGCAAAAGAGTTGAATAGATATTTCTCAAAAGAAGACATTCAAATGGCAAACAGGCATATGAAAAGGTGCTCAACATCACTAATCATCAGAGAAATACAAATCAAAACTACAATGAGGTTATCATCTCACCCCAGTTAAAATGGCTTTTATCCAAACAACAGGCAATAACAAATGCTGGTGAGGACGTGGAGAAAAGGGAACCCTCATACACTGTTGGTGGGAATGTAAATTAGCACAACCACTCTGGACAACACTTTGGAAACTCCACAAAAAAAAACTAAAAACAGAGCTACCATATGATCCAGCAATCCCACTGTTGGGTATATACCCCAAGGAAAGGAAATATATCAGAGACATCTGCACTCCCAATGTTTGTTGCAACACTGGAAGCAACCTAAGTGTCCATCAACAGATGAATGGATTAAAAAAAAAAATGAGGTACATATGCACAATGGAGTACTAGTGAACCATAAAAAAGAATGAGATCCAGTCATTTGCCACAACATGGATGGAACTGGAAGAACATTATGTTAAGTGAAATAAGCCAGGCACAGAAAGACAAACATTTCATATTCTCACTTATTAGTAGGATCTAAAAATCAAAACAATTGAACTCATGGACAGAGAGAGTAGAAGGATGGTTACCAGAGGTTGGGAAGGGTAGTGGGGGTTGGTGCAGGGGGGAGGGGGGAGGGGGGATGGTTAATGAGTACAAAAAAAAAGTGGTTAGAAAGAATGAATAAGACCTACTATTTGATAGCATAATAGTACAAAAAAAAAGTGGTTAGAAAGAATGAATAAGACCTACTATTTGATAGCATAATAGGGTGACTATAGTGAATAGTAATTGTTTATTTTTAGATAACTTAAAGAACATAATCAAATTGTCTGTAACTCAAAGGATAAATAAATGCTTCAGGGGCTAGATAGCCCATTCTCCATAATGTGTTAAATTCACATTACATGCCTGTATCAAAACATCTCATGTACCCCACAAATATATGCACCTACGTACCCACAAAAATTAAAATGAATGAATGAATAAATAAATAAAAACACTCCTCCTTTTCCCACTACCAATCTGTGTGAGGCCAGATTTTCTTAACACCTTTCAAAGAAACATGTTGCAACAGATTGAACTCTGAAGCTTTTATTAGAATCCTGCTGTATTCAACTCTTCAGCCAGATGTTAAAGAGATTTGCAAAACTAATGCTGTCACTTTCTCACTAAATTTTTTTTATTTTGAGACAGTTATTTTTCATTAACTATTTTATGTTAGCATGTTATGAGTTTATTATTTTAAATTAACAAGTATTGAATAAATATCTCAGTGTTAATGTCTGATACAGTAAATATCAATAGGTATAACCCACAGAAACAAAAGCTCTTTGGAGCCCCTCAATAATTTGAGAGTTTACAGGGTTATTGAGACTAAAAAGAGTAAGCAAATATAAAATAGGACCTGGAGGGACATGTTTTCAAACTAGACCACACAAAATTCCCACGGTGGGAAGCAACCTAAGGATGAGTTCATAATACAAAATTATACAAAAAAATGGAAACAACCTATCATTGTGAAAATCAACACACACAAAACACAAGAGTTTATATTTCCAAGACATTTAGATAATAGAATTATGTGACGGATACTACAAAATAACTAAGTTTAACATTTACTAAAGATATAAGAGAATAAATCAACATCACAAAAATGAGATACTACTTTTTTTTAAGAGCAGATTAGAAAAAGAACCAAATATAACTTATTGCAATGAAAAATGGGCAGTGAAATTTAAACACCAATGCTTGGGTTAAAACCATAAATCAGATACAGAAAAAGACATCAGAGATGAACTAGAAGATGAATCTGAGCAATTAAACAGAAGAAAGCACAGATAAAGGAATAAAAATATGAAAAAGAGATTATACAACATCAACAAAATCAAAGGAAACATATCAAGTTGAAGTCGTGAAGGGAAAAAAAAAAAACTTGATAATTTTCCAGTGCTGATGAAAGAGATGAATCCTCAGACACAGGAAATATGAATCCCAATCAGTGACTATGTATACAAAATTTTAAATGCAATCAGAAATTCAAATTACTTCAGGAGAATGACAATTAGACTAGTCCAAGCTATAGCACATGCCAGAAGACAATGGGATAATACCTTCAGATTAACAAAGATAACTGTCATACCCAATCAACATTTCAGAGCAAAACAAAAACATTTTCAGACAGACAAAACAAAAACATTTTCAGACAGACAAAACAAAAACAAAACATACTCTCACTGAAATAACTACTAAAATATGGTATTTTTAAATACCATATTAAAAATCAAAATGCCATTTTTAAAACGGGGCAAAAAAAAAGACGAGGAAATAGGATATCCGAGGAAGAGGATAACAACTAATGTTGGAAGTACTTTAAAAAATAAAACCAAAATACGGAATGTAGTAACATTTAAATTGGAAAAGTGAATAGTGTTCCAAGGGTCTTAAATTGTACATGAGGTAGAAATATTGCTTAATCTTAGACTTAGTTACCTCAAGTATGCTCTTATGACATCAAAGATAACCACAAAATTTGGATGCTTAAGATAACCAGGCCGCAAGACAAATTAAAATATGCTGCAATATGCAGAAACCCAATAAATAAGTCAGGATACTGATACAAACTCTTCTGTTTCACCAACTCCCACTCTTCCTCAGGACACTTCTCATATTGTATATAATAACAAACGTCCACTTGACATGACACAACAGTGCCAGTGTTAACTCAACTAATAAACAAGAGAAAACCTTTTCTCCTCTCAAGATAAATGTATAGATAGAAAAATCTAATTCATTCTTTCATCCCAAAGGAACATCCTGCTCCTCACTTTGGAAACCACAGATACACAGCTGACCCTTGAACAACACAGGAATTAGGGGCGCTGACTCTCCCCTCACTTCCCACCACCCCAGGCAGGCAGTCAAAAATCCACATGTAACTTTTGACTCTCCAAAAACTTAACCACTAATAGCCTACTGTTGACTGGAAGTCTTATCAATAACATAAACTGTTGATTAACACATATTTTGTTACATGTATTATATATCACAGTCTTACAATAAAGTAAGCTAGAGAAAAGAAAATGTTATTAAGAAAGTCATATGGAAGAGAAAATATACTTACTATTCATCAAGTGGAAGTGGATCATTATAAAGGTCTTCATCCTGGTTGTCTTCACACTGAGTAGGCTGAACAGAAGGAAGAAGAAGGGCAGGTCTTACTGTCTCAGGGTAGCAGAGGCAGAAGAAGTGGAGGAGGTGCAAAGGGAGGCAGGAGAGGCAGGCACACTTGGGGTTACTTTTATTGAAAAACAAAATCCACATTTAAGTGGACTCTCACAGTTCAAACCTATGTTATTCAAGAGTCAACTGTATATGTCCAGGATTATATAGGCAGTTCCACACATAAAACAACTCTTAATGTACTAAATCATGAGTTAATTCAGCAAGGAAAAAGCTAAGTAAAGGGTATTCATAACAGCATAAGTAAAGGACAAGGGATAAAATAGCAGAATCTAAGTAGGAAAACTAAAAAGTTTGAAATTTGCAGTTGTGAACTGCTAGGGCATAAAGCACATCTCTCTGGGATTGACTACTGAAAACTAAGAGGAGACAGCCTTTATCCCCACTGTAGGTGCTAATGCTGCCAGTAGATCTCAGTGAAGGCAGTCTAATCTTTTCCACCTTCCTCTCTTCATAGTAATCAACGTCTTATACTCACCACATGTTATCAAGTCTACGATGCCTGAATACCTTTATTGGAATTGGAAAGGAGACAGGGTTTTATTGTTTGGTCCCAGAGGAACATGAAATCTGACTTCTACTTCATTGGAGAAAATGAATTTCCTTAGCACAGATGCACTTTTATACTGCCTTTTCTCCAAAAGCATCTCAGTATAAAACAAGTAATCCCAATGCTGACTTCCAATAATCAGTAAGATAAGTCCAGAGATGAATTGTTTACTGGCAGCTGAAATCATATGAAGATGCTAAAGACAATTGGCGATATGTATGATGAGGTCCACATCACTTAGTGCCTACTACTGCTTTTTCTTTTGACTCTCCAATATAAGAGCTGAAACAGCTGGTACCCCAAAAGTGGAAGAGTCCCTTGCCCCAACAACCACTTAAAAGACATCAATTAGCATCTATTACGTAATAAAAGGGTTCTCAAAATAATTAAGTTTTCCATACTTTTAAAGCCAACCTGAAAGCTTTTAACCAACAAGGCACCTAAAGTCCTGATGGCTGCACACCAGTCTAGCCAGTTAATTACTCTACCAACGATGTGTAATGGTACTCAGTTACTCATTCACTCAGTCAGTCCTTCAAATACTCAAGGCGTGTTAACTATGTACCAGGCACTGGTGCAGGAAATACTGTGATGAAATAGATGACCCTTCCTAATATGACATAGCACTTCCCCGGCTTATTAAAATTTAATCTCAAAAACCACAACATTCATTAAACTACAATTTCCTCCATATCGTTTTGTTAAAAATTTTATGAACCACAAATAAAACTCACTCCCAAGTTATTACAATACAAGTTTACTCCAAATCTAAATAGTAACAATGAGAAAACAAACACGTCACATAGTGTGTGTTCTATATATGTTTAATAGTCATTATGATAATATGAGATCTAAAGAATACAGCATTTACAATGGTTTTCAAGCAAGAGTCTCCAAAGACACCAGGGCAAAGAGTTTAAATACATAGGTATGTACTTGAGTGAAGTAAAGAATTTTAAAAATCCTGCGCTACCTTATTCTCATGATGACAATTAAGACAGAAACAAAGTTACAGGTAAGACATTACAAAGGAAGAACTGGGAATACGTAACAGCGGATACGATACAAAATGAATTGTATAACCACATGTTAATTTACTTCTTCCTAAGGAAAACTGCTGGATTCTGTGAGGGATATAAAAGCAAACAAAAAAATTATGCTTTCATTAGGTTATCACAGTGGAGGAGAAAGAATACAAAAACAAAAACAAAGGAAAATATAATCAGAACTATAAATGTAGAGGCCTGTGGATAATATGGGAAATCTACCCAAATCAAAATCATTTTTAAAAGTAAAACACTATCAGTAACATTTACGTAAGGCTTTGCAGCAATTAGGAATGCAACTGTGGAGAACCTTGGTCATTCAATTTTGTAGGCACCTATGATTCAATACTTCAAATGAATGAGAAGCTACTTAAATTTCCTTAAAATGTGTCCAAATTCAACAACAATTTAAGGTTCTTTACAGTAACACCTAACCTAATCTTCTAGTCCATTTAATACCTTCTCACTTCACCAAGTAATGTGCAAAACACACAGTGAGGAACTAAATGATTGTTGAATTGCTGCACTGGTTTAACAGAAAATCTCATTTATTTCAATGCAGATAAAAAATCATTTTGTGATGCTCCTGTGATAAAAAGTGCATGAGCAAGTGTCAAACACCATGGTTAGCCATGTATTTTGCAATGCAGAAGTAAACTGACACATATTAAATACAGGCTAACTCTTGAATTTAATATGAGGTTGTCAAATTTCTCAAACTGCAGTCGAAATATTTTATTGCATTTTGGCAGCTGAAGTGAAACTAGGGCTACAAATATTTTTCTGGGCCAAACTTAAAGACAGAGCACCTAATTTACCTTAAAACTAATAGTCTCTTGTCATCTAGTCTTAAGTAATGTTTCTGAAAGAGCTGTAAGTAATCTTCTAAAACTACTACAGTATGTGAAACTTTAAGTTTAATGCTTTTTCTTATCCCTATTCAAATACTATGATTAATTTTATATAGGTTAAAGAATCCAAGGGAGGGACAGAATGGGGATTTAGAATAAACTGAAGGAGTCCATTTTGTAAATTCAGCCCCACTACCACTGCTGTGACACCTCCATCAATTTTAAGCAAATAATAGACTGTTATATTTGTTCCCTCAGAGTCAGGGTACAAACCCGCTTTAGGGAATTGGCAAAATAATGTTACTGTAGATTACTCTGCCTCTCTTTCAGGTCTATAAAGAAATTTGGCTTCTTCAGTATATTATTTAATAGAAAGGTCTATTGAAACCTTGCATAAAAGTTAATATCTTAGTTAAAACAAAGAAATAAATTTTAAATTGCAATAAATGTAAATTTGTTTTCATTTGCATGTTGTCATTAAATAAGACAACATACTTTTGAAGAACAGGTTTTTTCATTCCGAAGTTTTAATTTTATGCCATAATTTACACTAGAATCACTACAGATGACAATTCAAGTCGTTTTATTCAATTAGTTATTTTATGATCAGTTCTCAAATCTTTACAGGTTTTTAAGAGACAAAAATCAAAGAAAGTAATGCTGAGAAATACATTCCATGCTAAACCTCATTCCATCTCAAATTATAGTGATTGCTTATATTCACAGTATCAGGGTAGCTATTCTGTTCATTTTTGTTTTGTTTTTCCTTGAGATGGAGTTTCGCTCTCGTCCAGGCTGGAGTGCAGTGGCGCGATCTCAGCTCACTGTAGCCTCTGCCTCCTGGGTTCAAGCAATTCTCCTGCCTCAACCTCCCTAATAGCTGGGATCACAGGCATCCGCCACCATACTCAACTAATTTTTTGTATTTTTAGTAGAGACGGGGTTTCACCATGTTGGCCAGGCTGGTCTCAAACTCCTGACCTCAGGTGATCCACCTGCCTTGGCCTCCCAAAGTGCTGGGATTACAGGCTAGAGCCACCGCACCTGGCCCATTTGCAAACAGTAGAAGTGTTGTGCCTTGGAGAGAATTTTATAAAAAATAACCTCAAGATGCTATTCCCCCCAACATCAAAATTAACTAACACCACCTGTCACCATTTCTTTCACTCTTCATCATGTGCTGTATGTGGCTAAACCCAAAATTCACTGGAAGATGTTACATTCCTTTTATGAAATGTTTTAACGATTACATGCAAGCAAGCTTTTAAAAAAATAAAATAAAATTGAAGGAGGCAAACTTCATTTTGCTGCTATCTAACACAATATATACTGCCTGTAAAAGGAAGTTCTAAAGATTTTCCATTCAGGAATCCACCAAAGGTTTTAGTTGTTTTGCCCTCAAAAAACAAATGGCCTATTTCTACAATTCTCATTATTTTATTCACTTGGCCAATAAAATAATGAAAGCTCTATATTTGGAATTGTTAACCTTTGTCAATCTGTATTTTCTGTAAGTAATTTGAAACCTGTTAGAACACAGCATATTCCCTTTGAATATCAGCTATCCTTACACAAAAATGTTAAGCTTGAACTATTTAATGCATTATTACTAGATACAGAATGTTTATTAGTAATAAAAACTCTTTGCTTTTTATTACACACAAATTTTGAACAGAATCAAATTCTCTCCAACTTAATCCCCAATTAAAATAGCATCTACTATCCAATGAGTCACAATTCAATTGAAAGATTCAATTAAGAAAGTCCACTTTTCTTTCATCAAATGAGTTTAGTTGTATCACAGTATGACTATAAAACACTCCTAAAATAAAAAGCTTTTTAGCCCATTTTAAAAGGAAGCCCAGTAAATTCAATACTGGAAAAAGCATGGTGCTAACTGATACGGTAAATACTTAGTATGCATTCTGAAATGTTAAGTATCCCCCCACATCTCTGGCCACAGATCTCCTACCTGGTAATTGGATTATTTAGACTTATTTGTTACTGGCATATTGTTTCTAGTAATAGAATACCTTTTGGATAGGTTTTTTTAATGTTTATGTTACTATGGATTCTTATTAAACCAAGAAGAGAGAGACAGTAAAAATAAGCCCAAGTGAGGATGACCTTCAGGAAGGCCTATGAAATTAAGACAGCAATGGCATCCTGCTCCATTAGAGGAGCAATCAACTTCTCAATATTACTGCTACAGCGCACAGTGTGATCTGGCCACCAAGGAATTGCAACCAGAGGAAGAAAATGCACCAGACCCTTCTCTGCCTCTATTAAGTGAGCACCTGTTCTGCCAAGGACACCCAGCTTCCCCTCTGTGGGGAGGTATGCACTGTAGTGAAGCCTGCTCAAGGATCAATGAGAACAGGGAGTAGCAACAAGTTACAAGAGAAGAGGATCTATATGTTCTACCATCACTTTGTGGCTGCAATTTCTTTGAGGCATAATAGGGAAATTCAAAGACACTCTGACTAAAGGGAATCAAAGAGTTCTACATACAGCGAAGGAAAGCCAGCACAGCCTATGGGCAACATTTTAAGAAATGCTTAAAACAATATTATTGTCCGAGAAAGGAAAGAAGGAAAGGAGTATTCACTGTCAGCCAAACAGACAAGCACTCTCCATGGGGATGTGGAAGAAAAATATTATAAATGTGAGGGTAAAAATGTATATAATTTTTACATAAATGAAAAAACTTTGAGACCATGATCTAGACTTAACTTTTGCATTCCCCTAACTTTAATCAGGATCATTTACTTAGCCCCAATGTGATCCACCTTGCCTACACAATTAAGATGTTTGGAGAACCTCTGTCTCATAGGACCTTCAATATCAAGTTCCCCCTTCATCTAGAAGATAATTTCTAGTTGACTAGTAACTTATGTTCTGCTTTCAGGAACTCCTTCTTAGGTTTTTTGGTCTCTATTGCCTAGTTTTTAAACCTGGGTTGCTGATCTGTACTGATAATGCCCAATTACCATCATTTCAGTGATATCAACAATGGAAAAGGATTTATTTATTATCCTGTAGTCCCTGGTGTGTGCTTTGTTTTCATAAGCCAAACATAAATGAGCCACACCATTTACCTGACAGTACACTGGTCCTAAGTGGGAAAGTAACTCCAAGAGGAATAACTGCCAATTTCCTCAAATATGTTACCTACATAGGGGCCGCTTATCTATTTCTGCCTCACTAGTAGATGCCTGTTTTGTCAATGCTGTATTTGAGCACTGCATTCAATAACAAGGGAATCATATCAAACCATAAAGAATAAAAATACCCCAAGGCATCAGAATTTTAGAGCAAGGAAGGGAGTTAAGAGATCTAGTTCAACCTCCTCCTGTCAGCTATTAGATCACAATAGAAATTAAAAGTTTAGAAGCTTAAATAGCAATTTGATCAAGGTCTAAACAATAAATGTCAACTGTACTCATTTTTAATGAGGGCAGTAACTCAAACTTTGATTTTTCATATTTATATTAGTGTAGAAAATATTATATAAATTTACTTAATGATTTATTACAACTACACCTTATTTTCCATTCTTAATACATCTCCCATGGCAGTAACGTATGGTCTTCCACATAATGTACACTACAGGAAATTGAGTATACAGTACAGCTCTCCATGCTACCAGTTAGTTTTACTTCTTACAAGATACTTTCTCTGGTGACCCAAATGGCAGAGGCCAAAAGATATGTAAGTTGGAGTAGAAACACCATCATTAGGGATACTAAATGTCTTACAAGGAAAACAAATTCAAATTTATAATTGACCCTTTTTCTACAATCCTTGTCTCTGTAATACAGTGATCCCCACATGTTTTTCTGAGCTGCCCAGCTAACAAAGGAGTTCTAATCAATAATCACTGAGGACAACACAATGATAGGAAAACTGTCTCACCAAGCCAGAAGTAACTGCATACGAAACCAAGGGAATGTTGTAATAGAAAAGATTTGAAGTTTAAAGTCTTTAAAAGCCATTTAGAGAGTCCTGAATCAAAGAGGACCACAAATAGTTACTGCCACACAAAACGAACTCATAGGCCACACAAAAAAAATTTAGAGGCGCTGCCTCTAGACTACTACTGTTCTCCAAAAGGAAAAACACAAGTAATATTAACATTTTTCTAACATTTAAAACAGAGGCAGGCTTCCTTTACAACTTCCCTGCTTTGAGTAATCAACTGAGTTGAAAAAGATCCGCTCATGCCCTGGTTCTCATTTTTGATGGATGCTTGTACTGTTGCCATTAGGAAAAGAAAAGGCAGAAAACTAACCAGGTCCTTGGAGATTATAACACACTCCATAATAAAAGCAGAAGTGATGAGAACTCGAAAATTATTTTCATTTTATACCTTATATTTGTATTATTTTTAAAATGCAGGCTATGGTTAAAGTATTATATATTAGATTAAATTTTGTTACACTGTTAGAATTCCAATAGGCGTGCTTAGTGACTGAATTACTATACTTATTCACTCTTCCACCTTTGAAAATTTTTCACATCACTTCAGTGAAGATTTAAGTGAACAGCCCTGCCAATCAGAAAAGGAATATGTGGCAATGACTAACAACAAACTTAGAACTCCTTTTTGAGAACAGCATAAACAATTTTCCCATTTCTAAACTCTAGGCTTTTACTTCAACAGGTCACTCATCTCTAAGTTATTGAGATACAAAAACAGGATAAAGTAACTGTCTTTCCTATACAGGCCCTGAAGTCCAATTTAAAAAAAAAAAAAAAAACAGTGTTATGTTGTACATGAATAAAAACACATTAAATCCCAGTATGATCTTATATTTTTCCAAATAAAAACATATTTCATTTACATATACATTTAAAGGAAATTATTCACCAAATGAGGCAGCCCTAAGTTGCCCAAATAAAATGACCATACATAATTCTGAAGGATCAATGTTGAGAATGTTCCCATATAAACTAATATGAAAACATGCATGAGTTTGAACAGGTTTGGGTTTTGTAAACATATTAGATGTAGTAGTCATTCTTAAAAATACAGAAAGTGGAAAAGAATTTAGCATTTCCATGTCCTTCCCTGCCTTCTCCTTAGTCCTCAGGTGGCCACCCATAACCATGCTACCTCATATACACACTAACCCACCAAGGAATCTAGGAAGCTATGCCAATGTTCTGTAGAGATACATATTTTGTTAAGACAAATAACATCCATAAAAATTCAATCCAATATATAAAATAACACTTAAGCATATTGAATGCTAAGGGTGGGGGGGGAATCAACCCACGTACACCATACAGAAAACACAAAAAGGAAAAGATGTAAGTGAATGTTCCAAATTCAAAGAAAATGAGAAACAAAGGAATTGATAGGAGTACCCTTCACTAACAAACACAATTTATGTCTAACTCTTATAGTGTGAGATTCTTTTTTTTTTTTTAACATGGATCAATGCAGGCAATTTCTGAAGACATATCAAAACCGTTTCTTTCACAAATTCAACACAATGAAGTAGGTAAGAAAACACATTCCACACAAAAACATGTGGCCATAAAATTCCCTCTTTACCTGGTAATTTTATAATAATACTAAATATTCCTGATAAAATATACCTGGGGAGGCAGCATCTTAAAACAAAAATCTTACTGCCACATCCTACTCTGAGTTATTGGATTAAAGTAATGCATAGAAAATCTAGTCGTGAGATATTATCCATGGAAAAAAAAGTGATGCGGGGCTATGAGACACACAATCAAATTCTGCCATTTTAGCATTTGTCAAGTTCAGAGTCTTTAAAAGCCCTAGAACAGATGTAGTGTCAAGAAGTCTCAAGAGTTGTTGGCTATAAAAACTTTTTAATTTTGCATTTCAATGACAATCTTAAAATCTAAATGCACATTCTAGATCAAATAGATGACTACCTTACAACCATATCTACCATCTGAGTTCAGTGGAGTATTGAAAACTACACTAATACCAAACAACACCCCTGGAGCTGTATGAGCGATGGTTAGCGTAAGTTCAAATAGAGTAGGAACACTGAATCGTCACACAAACCAGTGGAGTACCCACATGGCCAACTAAAAAAACTATCATCCATCCCATAAACAAATGCTATTTATTTGAAGTTTATTGGTGTTTAGCTTTGTTATTTTGTTTTGGTCATATAGGTATATGACAGCTATAAGTAAAAGAAACTTAAGCAAAGTTTTATGTTGTTATAATCAAATAATTAAAAATAATTTAAATAGCATCTGAGATAAATGGGTTAATTATTAAATTATCCATTTCCAATTTATTTTATTAGCCATACTAGTGCCAACCTCTACTAGTGCAGAACCCAGAACAATTGAAGTGATCATATGGATTGTACTATAATAGCACTACTATAGGTGGTATTTTCATTAGCATAGATACAAAAGCTAACAAGGACTACTTCCCATTTTCCTTTCGGCCACCATAAAGGCAGCTTAGAGGCACAATTATGACTTAACTAGAGCAACTGAATGGAGCTTTATCATCAGTTACTGTGGTAGCCAGAAAAACGACCCCAAAAAATGTCCACATGCTAATCCTGGCATCCTGTGAATATAGTTACATGGCAAAAACGAATTAAGGCAGTTAATCAGCTAACTTTAAAGTAAGGAGACTGTCCTGGATCATCCAGATGAGTCCAATGTAATCAAAAGTCAAAAGGATCCTTAAAAGTGGAAACAGGAGGCAGAAGGGGAGATCAGAGTGATGTGATGCAAGAATTTGGCACTTGACCCACTGTTGTTGGCTTTGAAGATACAGAAAGAGGCCAATGTGGGTGGTTTCTGGAAAAAGACAAGGAAAGGGTAACACCTCTAGAGCCTCCCAGAAAGGGAAACAGCATTATTGACCCGTTGCTTTTACTCCAGTGAGATTCATTTAAGACTACTAACCTACAGAACTCTAAGATAACTTTGTGTTGCTTTAAGCCACTAAGTGTATAGCAATGTATTACAGCAAACACAGAAAACTAATACAATCCCTGTATTATTCCATTTTCTCCATGATACAGATCCTCCTGTCCTAATGTTTTACCAAAGCCAGAAGTTTTACTGCTAAGTTTATTTCACTATTTGGTATGTATTTCCTGTGAGCTACTTCAGATCTCTTATAGACTGAGATGGTATAGATTCTAAAAATAAATAATATAAGCATTTGTCAAACACCCTGAAAACCCACTGAGCATGAACCTGTAGTAGGTGATGAGAATACAAAAAGTATAACCTATAGCTTCACCCCTCACTTATCACCATGAACCTAAGTCTCTGCCACATTGTACATCTCTTGGAGGACATTTGAAACAGTTGAGCAGGGGGATGACTAGTTAGGAGGGTAAAGAACCATGAAGACAATGCTGCCACTATGGCGTAAAAGAAGAAGCGCCCAACTGAGGTTGCTGTAGCAGTAGGCAGCCCAAGCATAAGCACAGGGAAGTCTGACAGTCAAATTAATTCTGGTTTAAAGTTTGCCAGGTCAATGAAGTGGAAAGAAAGGAATGCAATTACATTAAAGGTACTGATAAAACCAAAACAAAAAAGGAAAAGGTTAAGAGATCGATCACAGAGTCGATAGTAAAAACAGCAAGCAGTAACTAGCTGAGATTGACAGACAGTAAGAAAATGAACCAAAGGTCAGGGAAAAGCCAGAAAACAAGTACTGGGAGAAAAACAGATTATAAGGGTCAGAAGGTTAAGAAATTAGGGTCAGAGGGAAAAAAGTTTTCAAGAGGACAACCAACAAGTGGTTCTGGAAAAATGTAGTCGAAGGGTCTAGTCACATCTAAGCGTAATCACAAGACTATGGAAAAAAGCTTGATTATTAAGGTGGCTTAATTTTTAAGGTTGACACCAAGGAAGTTAACTGTGCTTTTACAGGAAATCCCTTGGGAGCACTCCTGGCCACAGTGCTTCTAGCTATTGCAACCTAGGAACCTTGATAAGTATGGAAATTATCATAATAAATAGAAGTGTGACATGTGCACACAACTGTTTCCAAATCCCATAAATAGTCTCCAAAACTAGAAAAATATGGTTAACAGTAAATATTTTTAGCTGGATAATTACATAAAATTATAATTAACAGGTGTAGCTTATGTTACACAGACAGATACACAAAAGTTGGTAACAGTTTTTGTAAGTCGGAAACTTTGAAATGCAACGTGAATCTTGGAAAAGAGAACAAACATTTCTTGCAGAGAGAGAGGAAATAAGGAAGAAGACAGAGGTGAAGGAGACTGCAGACAGGTTGATGATTTGGTTTGAGGAATTATTTGTGGGGAGAGAAGGGAGACTTTACAGCGCCTTCCTCAGCAGCGCCTTCCCCTGTCCTCTCCACAGGGAGAACCTATTAAAGTGAAAAGTTTAACACAGACTCAGACTACAATCATCTGTTCTGGGTTTACTGCATTTGTTTTTCAGATCTTTCCCAGGTCAGGAAAGATTGTGTGTCAGGATGTCTGAGGAATTATAAAAGAGATAATTCTACCCAAATAACTTCATAATGTATTAGCCTTCAATTAAGACCAAAAGTATGTGATAACAAGACATGACTCGATGTTGACTGTAATTTACTAAAACGTAAGAACTGTATTTTATTCACCATAGGACTAGCCAAAAGCCTAATGGGCATCATGAACCATCAAGGAACACAGACAGATATTCTGAAACATGAGAACACTACCTTATTTGCTTTAGTGAGGCTGCAATGAAGGGGACTTCTGAAAGAAGCCAACCTAAAATCTGCGGAAAATTATACACAGCTCTAGCACACTTTCAGCTTTAACAGCTGACCCACAAAGACATTACAGAAACAAAGTTACTAGGTTAGTAGTATATAAACCAAAGATCAGGTAAAGTCCACAATATCTTAAATCAACAGACAAATCCAAATGCATGGAGCAACCTAAAAGCTAAATAAATAGCTAAGTGGAGTAAATTAACTTGAGTGAAAATAGAGGGTCAATTTAAATTTAGCTCTGATCTATTCAGTGGCCTTATTCTCTAGGCAACTATAAACTCCATTGTGTTTGCAATCTGATTAAACCCAAGAATGCCATTTGATCTCCGTGAGCTTGACATCCAAATGTATGTGGTCTCACAGCACTAGTAAATTCTTTTCCATATAAGAATCATACAGGACACCATAAGCAATCTAATGACAACCTCAAGTTGAATTTCACTAAATCAACGTATGAAAAATAAATACAAATTTACCAACACAAATCACATTAGATAAAGTTTACTGCAAACTAACATTCCTATGGTTTCAACAAACATCTTTTAAAAAGACAACTGTAGCAGCACTAACACAATCAGTATAGCCAGAAGCTAAGCATAAGGAAAGATTCAGCTGCTGACATGACACATGACTTTGGAATATTTCCTTTTACCTTTTCCTTTACAAAAAGAGAAAAAGAGGGAAAGAGGGAAAGAGGGAAAGAGGGAAGGGGGAGGAAGAAAGAGAGAGAGAGAGAAAGAAAAAGGCTCAAGTTATAACACCTAATATTTAATTGTTGAGCATCTGTTATGCATTAAACACTTCACTTTAACTCTCAGAACAACTTTTTGAGCTAGTACTATTATTAGTCTTATTTTCCAGAAGAGGAAAACTAAAGTAAGAAGTAATATTTCCCAAGTTACACAGTTTACAAATGGCTGAGGCAAGGTTTGAACTCTAAGTTTTACTCCAGAGCCAACGTTGTGAACCATTTCACTATATTGTCTCATAAAAGTAAGCTTCTCCATGTAATCATCTGAAAATCATCTAACTGGGAAAAGAGAAAGAACCATCCATAAAATATCTGCAAGCTCAAAAGCCTCAGAGGTACACAATTTTTCTTCTATAAAGGGCTAGACAGTTCAATATTTTAGGCTTTATGGCCCACATGGTCTATCACAACTACTCAATCCTGTGGTTGTAGCCTGAAAGCAACCCTAAACAAATGAGTATGTCTGTGTTCCAATAAAACTTTATTTACAACACAGGCAATAGGCCAGATTTGTCTCAGGGGCCTACTTTGCCAAATCATAACCAAAAAGATATTTTAAAAGTTTGAGTACACAATAAAATTCATGACTCTCATAAGTTAGAGAAAAAATCATGCAGCTATAAAAAGTAACTTCAAGGATTTTCTCCAGGGCAAATGCTTTTATTAGCAGGAAGGATTTGTGTTCTTGCTTGTGTTATCAGAATGCATTGCTTTAGTGTTGATTAAGAGCACGTTCTCTCTTTGTGGCTCTCATGGACACCTCTAGGTTTTTCTAAGTCCCCAAGGAAAGCAACATCTCCTGCCAAGAACAGGTCTTACAAAACCACAGCAGTTTGTACCATAATTACTACACAGCCTACAATCATTCCTGTCCCACATTTATTCCCCATCGACAGCATCTGTTGTGTCAGGGTCAGGGGTCATGACATTCAGCCAACAAAATCAGATTTCCTCAAATAGTGAAGGCAGGAAATATAAGAGAGCTCACTTGAGCTAGCATATTCAAATTAAACAGATGTAAATGTATCAGTCTGAAAATCCAACCTTTTCTGATGTTCTGACTTTCTGGTTTTTAACTGTTATGCTCCTGGTTGCCCATCCAGTTAAGCACAAGGGATAGAATAGTGAATAAGGTTTGCTCTCCGTTCTCATAGATTTCCCAGGCTAACTAAAGTTATGAACAAGAAAACAGAATCTTTTTTGTTCCTTCTATCACCCATAGATTCTAGATGTACAGTGTGTCTTGAATTACCATTCTTCCTCTCATATACCTAAGGCTATACTCTAGTTTTGACCCTTACTCATCTATTTCATTTCCAAGTGCTTTTAATCACTTACATCTTTTCATAGGAACATTTTAAATATGCACCCAATGTATACTTTATTTATAATAAATGAATGTGAGTATACATAAAATCAAGTATACACAGAAAAATATGAAGGATTAAATAAAAACAAGTTCTAATATTTTCTTCCTAAACCCCAATGGATTAACCTCATTCCACCTGAAAACTCGATTATGGCAGTAGATTCTAAACTTGACACTATCAACATAAACCTTAAAAATTAAGCACTGCCCTCAAACATATTAATGAATAAATACTATGAGGACACTGATGGGGAAATAATTCATGCTACTTAGACAACTCAGACGGAGGGCAAGCGAAGCTCATATTAAAGGCTAGGCCTTTGGAATCTATACTGTATACTAGAAACAGTAAATGATTCTGTTAAATGAATCATTCAGCTAAACGATTCACTTCCGACAACACAGCAGAATCAAATCTGAACAGAAAACAGGCCATTATAGAAAGCCTATTACTTTGTTGCAACATAAATCAGCATCAAAACTGTTAGAAACAAATTCTTTAATGAATGAGGTGATGTCAACACTAAATGCAAAAGATAAATCAGGAAATTAATATCTTGGATTCACTTTTTTAAAGGGAAAAGACAGCCAATAATAAATGTAATATATGTTACTTTATATATACACACCCGACCCTGTATTCAGCACTTCACATTCCTAAGGCATCTCAAGAAAAGCCTAAGAAATTTTAAATTGATTAAGCCTATAAATACTACTAAAGCAAGTACCACGTGGCTCAGAGTAACACCAAATTAAAAATGAAACTCACTCATGTAATATAAAACTTCACTAAAAAAATTTCTAGATTCATTTCAGAATACTTTTGCTTATTTGCCATTGTGTCCAATACTTGCAATTTTTCGTGATGCTTTTCAATTATCAAACAAAAATACACCACAAGAACTGTATGTCGTAAATGCTTACTTTAGTTTCCTATTTTGTTCTGAACCAGGAATTCGTGAACAGAGAATCTTTTCCATTCATGATATATAAAATGTGTAACCCATGAAAACACGATGGACAGAGGGAGAACGGCCATTTGAGAGTATCTTTAATGCTTATCAAAATTTTTTGTTTCATTAATCCTTGTAAGCAACATACGTACATAATATGTACCATGCTGTTGCTTCCTTTGGTAAACATTTATCTACATTGGAATGGATGACTGCATTCTGTAGATTTGTCTGTATGTTTATAAACAATCTTTATTTTAAAAGGACTGTTATTTATTTTAATCTAAAACTAAGCAAATGTGAAATCACAAAACAGTGGTTATTTTTAAGTAGTTTTTATCCAACCAAGGATAAGCATTCAAGTAATTATGTAAGGTTTGTGCCTTAGGATTAAGACATAAATTTTTAATGAGCACTCAGTCTTGCTGTTAGTTCATCTGTAGAAAACAATTAAACACACATTTGGTTTGCAGAAATTTTATGCATTATAGAGTTCTCCCTTCTGAAATAAAGACTCCTAATAGTCACTGGTCATATATACAAAGCACATTTCCAATTTATGACAAAGAGTGGTACATTTTCCAACATTATAGCTTGGCTAGCAGAATTCAATTCAGCAAATATTTATTTAGCACATATTACATGTCAGGCTCCAAAGGAGAAAAATGAAGCTCAAATGACATTCACTGTATAGCAGTGGCTCGAAATCTAGCATCAAATCTCCTAGGAATTTAATCTCCGAGGAATATAAAATCAAATCACTTTATATTCCTTTATCTCCTAAGGTGTTAAAATCTAAGGTGTTCACAATGGCAAAAATATTAGGCTACGTTTATGGTTTGGTATTGGAAAAATCCAACTTTCAAAGTATATGTAATATGAATATGACAAATACAAACCACCTCAAATAAATACCACTGTGATTATTCCACAATAAATTACTACCACATGGCATGTGGCAATCTGGCTGTTAGACCAGAACAACAAAATTGTTCCAACTGATTCATGACATTCATCAGCTACCTACTCAGAACAGACATCCATAAGTACACAAAGATGGATCCATAATAGTGATGCAAAGCATGCATCACTTGTTATCAGATAAAATACTATTGCATGTTCTTGCTATCAGGTGACAGTTGTGAATTTAATCAAGGCTCTACTTGAATTACTCAGTGAGCCACCTCCACCCAATTCATCCCACAGGAAAGAAAGTGAAAAGAACACCAAAAAATGAAAGTAGCAACCCAAAACACTGCATACACTGACAGATGCACTAGGACACCATTTGTTTTCTCTAACTTGTGTTAAGCATCAGAAGCAAGAGGAACCCGGTAGGTTTAACCTCAGATTAAACTTGGAGGACCCCTCACAAATGCTCTAACACTTCCACAGAAAAGCCAGTATCTGTGTTCAAACTACCATGACCATCCTCAAGACGTAACTTCACGACGTCAGTACCTTGTTCTTACCACATGCCCCATTCTTCACAACCCATATAATTCTGAGATGTCTTCCTTCTCCACCTACCCCATGGAGAGAGAGCTCTAGAACCAAAAATGAATAACACTTATTGGAAACTTAACCATATACTAAGACCTGGCTGATATGGTGGAGAGAACTCTAGCTTTGGAGTAAAATATTGCTAATTCCCATCTCGGCTCAAAACTGTATTTTCACTGGTTTCTTAACCTCTTTAAAGCCTTCCAGTGGCCCCAGTAACACCCACTACCAGCTTACTTAGTACTAAATAAGCAGGTGTGATTTAGACTGAAAGACAGTTATACAGTCGACTTAAACTGAAGATTGACTTGCCAAATGTAATAACAGAAAGATAATGGGAGATGTGAATCTTAAGTTTTCTACTAACTAGTTATTAGGTTATCGAACTACTCACACAATTATGCTGTAAATCAACTTCCCTTTTGTACACACGTTTCCCCTAACTCACTCTCTTTCACTCTCAGCCTCTTCCTCTTGTCATAGGCCCCCTTCGGCAGTCTGATAATGTCTACAGGCCTCTTCTCAGAGTAATGTTGTAAATGCATAAAATATACATTGGATTATACATTGGATTAGATGGTATCACATTTATGGACCCCTCCCACTTGACTTTCATAATATATTAACTGCAGATTAAGAGCTTTTGTTATGGAAGGAACTGAATTAGATGGACTCTTCTAATTAGTCTTTGATTCCAAACTCATGGAAAGTTTCATTTGATTATAACAAAATCTTGTAAATAAAGTAAAAATTATTTGCTTTATAACTTATTGTGATTCTTTAGATACCTATACCTACACTATCCCCAAACCCTGAATTTTTTATGTTAAAGTACATGGCCTGTGATAGGTTTACTTACATATTTACTTATAAATTTTGAGACATTTATACCAGACAGTGAATATGTTAAACTCTTCTGAGCATCTATCTGATCAAAATACAATGCTAGAGATACTAGGAATAAAAAGCAACAAAATAAAAAGTACTCTATTTTATGGAAATTTAAAACATAATTAGGGGCCAGGAGTTGAGGCTTATGCTCTAATCCCAGCATTTTGGGAGGCCAAGGCAGGAGGGTCGCTTGAAGCCAGCAGTTGGAGACTAGCATGGGCAACATAGTGAAAGCCCATCTCTAAAAAAAAAAAAAAAAAAAAAAAAAAAAAAAAAAAAAAGTAACCAGGTGTGGTGATGCACATGTATTTAGTTCTAGCTACTCAGGAGGCTGAAGTGGAAGGACCACTTGAGCCCAGGAGTTTGAGGCTTCAGTGAGCTATAACTGTGCCACTGTACTCTAGCCTAGGTAACAGTGAGACCCTGTCTCAAAAAAAAAGAAAAAAGTTAAATATACAATATAGATATAAAATATATATGAAATTCATATATATAAGAAAAGTCTATCTAATTCAATTCGTACCATAACAAAACCTCTTAATCTGCAGTTAATATATTAAAGTCAGGTGGGAGAAGTCTATAAATGTGGTACCAACTAATCCAATGTATATATTACACATTAGAAACATTACTCTAAGAAGGGCCCCATAGACATTATCAGACTGCTGAAGGGGGTCTGTGACAAGAGGAAGAGGGTGAGAGTGAAAGAGAGTTGGGGGAACTTCTGTACAAAAGGGAAATTGATTTACAGCATAATTGTGTGAGTAGTTCAATAACCTAATAACTAGTTAGAAGATAACTTAAGATTCATATTTCCCATTATCTTCCTATTATGACATTTGGCAAGTGAATCTTCAGTTTAAGTCAACTATATAACTGTCTTTCAGTTTAAATCACACCTGCCTATTTAGTACTAAATAAGCTGGTAGTGGGTACTATAGCATCACTAACTGCTAAACATACTAAAATAAAAAACCTTTGAGGTTAGCTTTCCTGATTGTTTCCCAAAGAAGAAAACAATGACACTCTCCAACAACCAGTTTCTCAAATGAAATCTTTTATAACAGAATCTTAAAATGGCTTCTCATTTCCATTAACTGTAACATTCATTTTTTTCCTTGCAGCACCAGCTCAAAGGACAACCACAACATTCAAAGCAACAGCTGTACTTTATACAGATTTTGCAATTTAATTTTAGCTTTGATCATACTTGATTCTAATCATTTTCTTCCTTAGAAAAGGAAATTACAAGCCCAAGACAAAAATCATTTTTACAGAGTACTTATAGTATTGCTCATCATACTAGAAGTGCCAAAAAATTACATGTAAAATTTCAGTAAAATACAGCTATAAACACTTGTTTTACCTAAGTTTCTTAAAAGCTTTGCAACAAGACGATAAATGGCCATTTTAATAATGTTTGCAAATAATTCTACTTAAATCAAAATAAACAGCTAGTTAAAATTCTGCACGCTTTAAATGATCATTAAATACTTAATTTTGATATGACTTCTTTCACGACAAATTACTCAACTTCATTGACAAATTTTACACATTAAATGTGATTCATCCAACTTCTGTCTTACAGATGCTATATTTATTGACATTTACAGAAAAACTCACAGCAATGACACCTCTAAGAAGCGTCAGTAGAGAAAGCCAAGCAATTAAGGGAAGTGTTTAATAGGAAAGTTATATGATTTCTTTAAGTGTAACAAAAAACGATCAGCTCCTTGACCTTTAAGTATCAAAAGAACTTTAAATTTAGACCTGATAAAACATACCATCTTGTCAGTAAGCTAATAACCTTGAATAGTGAAATAAATGTTAGTACTACCCTACTCCTTGAAAAACATTTCCATCAATAACAGTATAAACATCTATTTGGGAGAATTATAGTACCCTGAACCAAATCCCTGTTTCACACATGGAGCGTAATGATGAATTTTTATTTCTATCACCACTCTAGCCTTCAAAAATAGAGATGCCTTCAAAAATCTAGACATACGGCCAGGCACGATGATTCACGCCTGTAATCCCAGCAGCTTGGGAGGCCGAGGCGGGCAGATCAGGAGGTCAGGAGATTGAGATCATCAAGAAACTATATATAATATATATATAGAGAGAGAGAGAGAGAAAGAGAGAGAGAGAGAGAGACATGGTTGTCTAGATATTTATGGTTGTCAGTAATTCATATCCAACCCACTCTGTATTCTACTGCCCCAGTATTTAAAAATGAGTTTAGGCCAGGCGTGGTGGCTCATGCCTGTAATCTTGGCACTTTGGAGGCCAAGGCAGGAGGATTAAAAAAAAGAAAAGTTTTAAAATTTAAAAATAGTAAATTAAAACATTTAAAAACATTAGGCAGGCATGATAGTGTGTACCTATAGTCCCAGCTGCCTGGGAGGTTGAGGCAGGAGGATCACTTGAGCTCAGGAGTTCATGGCTGCAGTGAGCTATGATCATGCCACTGTACTCTAGCCCAAGTGACAGCACAAGACTCCACTTCTTAAAAAAAAAATTAAATAAATGAGTACAAGAGCTGATCAAAAACAGGTAATTAGCAAGAACACTATCTTCAGACCTTAATTTCCCAATATTTGGGGTCTCCCTAGATGTCTTACTGATTTCTATTTTAATTCGGTTGTAATCAGTACATTCTGTCTTCAACCCTTATTTCATGACCCAGTATATGGTGCATTATGAATATACCACGTGAACTAACGAATGAATATTCTGCAATTGTTGGATATGGTGCTCTACAATAACATTTTGGCCAGGATGGTTGACAGTGTTGTCCAGATCTTCAATGTCTCAATGTCTATTGATTTCTTATCTAATTGTTCTATCATTTGCTGACAAAGGAGAGTTAAAGTCCCCTGTAATAATTTGGAGCTAGCCTCCTCTGGCGCTCTCTCTCGTTCAGAAGTCTCCGCTCATTCTCTGACAGACATGATTGCCCTAGCTTCGTATCTCTGTGTTCCCCAGACCAGAAAGACTGCATACTTTCTGTAGGAGCCTTCCACCCTGTGGCTGTGGCCCATCCTTAGGACAGGCTGCTAAAACAGAAAATCCACCCTGTGCCAGTTTTTTCTTGTAAGTTTCAAGTCCCTTCTAAAATCTGCTTAGTTTTGCTCACACTCTAGAGTACTTAGATTTTATACTGTGTCCAAAGTTTATAATTATTTTTTGCACGCACATCAGTCTATTAGCTTATTTTACCATATCAAAAGCCCCTACACAGACAATTTTTTTTTCACTCCTACTGTATATGTATGTGTCTGTCTCTATCTGACATACTGTACCTAGGAAGACAAGGATCTATAAAAAGTTTGATAAACATGGTACTAACAAGAACAACTTCATGAATCGGTAACTTTAGGGTCATAATGTTTCCAGCAAGAGGAAGGTCATTAATAGTAGTGGTTAAATGTTTATTTAAATAAGACTATTCCAGTAACTATGTTGGAGGATGGATTTGAGAAAGAAGATCAGATAGGGCACTAATTTAACAATCCAAAGGATAGACTAGGAAGTAATAGGAGGCATAAAACAATGGGGATTAGGCCAGAGAAATCAGCAGTATACAGGTAAGTAAACAAGTTCCACAGAAATTAAAGGGACTGTCAAGGGAGAAGCCATATTTTGCTCCCACAATCAGTAGTCTGAAAATACTAAGGCATTAACTCTTCTCTCCATGTTTCTTACATTCACTGCTATCACCTCAGCCTACCCTACAGAAATGGAAAATAAGCAATGATCATGTCAAAACTCTTCCATCCCATGCTAAAAGTGGACCTCATTAATCA
The DNA here is from genome assembly GCF_000001405.40 of Homo sapiens. Classification (NCBI taxonomy): domain Eukaryota; kingdom Metazoa; phylum Chordata; class Mammalia; order Primates; family Hominidae; genus Homo; species Homo sapiens. The sequence goes on along the minus strand of NC_000011.10, from coordinate 108,747,398 downwards.
ATCACTGCACTCTGGCCAACTGAGCCAAACTGAATGTCTCATTCTTTTTAATATAGAAGCTCCAGGGTATCACTACCAACTGATCAGTTAAGCATGTTGTAGGACACCTATCTGCTATCCTTAATTTACATATTGACCAAACTAGTCTACCTTAAATTATTGTATATATAACCACACTAAACAAAAAATAATTTTTTAAGTGATCCCTGTTTTTACTGTCAAGCTCAAATTCATATACTGGGCCTCTTAATCTAGCACAATGCACATTCAAATTCAGCTATTCTCTTATATATATATGTTCAGACCCCTTTACATACATGTTCAATTCTACCCAGTCACTTCTTACAATGTGACATACACATTTCTATCTGCAAGCCTTTCTTTGTTTACACTATCCCCTTGCTAAAAAGCCCTTATAACTACAATTCTTGGCTAAGTTCTTTTCTTCAAGATTCAAGTCTTATCCTCATAGCCCCTTGCGTTACCTTCCCCCAAAACATTTCTATAGCAAACCAAGCTAAGAGGTATTGTTATCTTTAAGGCTGATGCTTTCTATACCCAACAACCCACAAACAACATGAGAATAAGGCCCTTATTGATCATCAGGGAAAGGCAAATCAGAACCATAAAGATACTATTTCCTATCTAGTGAGATGGCTGTAATCAAAGAGACAGATAATGAGTGACAGTGAGGATGTGGAAGAATTGGAACACTCATACACTGCTGGTGGGAAATGTAAAATGGTGCTGCCACCTTGGAAAACAGTCTGATAGTTCTTCTAAAATATAGGCATACAGTTCAAGTTTTACCATTTGACCCAGCAACTGCACTTCTAGGTGTATATACCCAAAAGAAATGAATAATTATGTCCACTGAGGAATTTGTACATCAATGTTTGTAGCAGCATTATTCACAATTGCCAAAAAGATGGAAACAATCCAAATGTCCATTAACTGATGAATGGATAAACAAAAGTGATATATCCATACAATGGAATATTATTTAGCCCTAAAAAGAAATGCAATACTGATATATGCAACAACATGACACTTAAAAAAAAAAACATACTAAGTGAAAGAATCCAGTTACAAAAGACACTTACTGTGATTCCATTTGAAGTCATTCCTTAGGAAATGTCCAGAATAAGTAAATCTATATATAGAGAAAATAGACCAGTGCTTACTTATGTCTGAAGGAAATGGAAGAAAACAAGTGAATTTCCTTCACTTGTTTCATTAGCCCTCATTATTTACTTACGTCTAGAATAAGTAAATTATACAGACAGAAAATAGATTAGTGGTTATTTATGTCTGAAAGGAATAGAGGATTATGAGGTAATAGCTTAAAGGGTGTAGAGTTCTTTTTGGAAGTGATAAAAAACATTCTAATACTGATCATGGTAATGGCTGAACAAGTTTGTGAACATACTACAAACTATTAAATTACATACTTTAAATGACTAAATTGTATGATAGAAATTACATCTCAAAAAAGCTATTATCAAAAGGAACAAGACACACTAAAAGAAAAACAATGGAATAACATGATGCACTAATTTTCAACATATCTAACCCTATGTCATATCAGGTCCTCAAGGTCTAGAAGACTTCAATATCTGAATAATCTACTTTCATCTTGCCAATAAAAATTCAAACTATTAAAGCTAGTTAAAATGTTTATATTTAAGACTTCAGAGAATTATAGAAAGGAAGACTCACTTTTAGAAGTCATGCTTTAAGATGGATCTGTATTAACTTTCATTTACTTAAGGTCATCATCAGATTTATATTTAAATGGCACTAAGTAAGTGGTCACAGTAGTAACACTGGATAACATTAAAACGTAAAATAGAAATTTTCCAGCCAGATGTGGTGGCTCATGCCTGTAATCTTAACACTTTGGAAGGCCAAGGCGAATTGCTTCTGCCTAGGAGTTTGAGACCAGCCTGGGCAACATGGTGAAACCCCATCTCTGCCAAAAAATACAAAAATTAGCTGACCATGGTGGCAAGCACCTATAGTCCCAGCTACTTGGGAGGATCACCTGAGACTGAGGAGGTCAAGGCTGCAGTGAGCCATGATCTCGCCACTGCACTCCAGCCTGGGTGACAGAGTAAGACGGAAGGAAAGGAAGGAAAGGAAGGTAAAGAAGGAAGGGAAAGAGAAAGGGAAGGAAAGGAAAGGAAGGAAGGAAACGAAAGGGAAGGAAGGGGAGGGGAGGGGAGGGAGGAAGGGAAGAAAGGGGAGTGAGTGGAAGGAGAAGGGAGAAGGGGAAGAGGAAGGGGAAGGGGAGGGGGAGGGGAGGAAGAAGGAAAGGAAGGGAAGGGGGAAGGGGGAAGGGGGAAGGGGGAAGGGGGAAGGAAAAAGTAATTTTCCTTCACTTGTTTCATTAGCCCTTGCTATTTCCTATAGAGCTCTTCTACCCTTCCAAAATTGATTGGCCACAACACACTCTGTGCTCTTATATCCTCTTTCCCTCTTTCTTCACCTATCACATCTAACACAGCCTTAGACACTTACCAAATCTCCACTACTCCAGAAAGATCTTCCAAGATTCTAGCCCCAAAGTTCAAAGTTCTAGGCCAAATTAAAAATATTTTATTACTGCAGGTAAATAGTTTACATTGTCTTTCTTACACTGCTATCTTGTATCATTTCACTTAACATTTCCACATAAATGTCCTGTGTCACTATGTAAGTTTATTGAAGGCTGACAAGTCTAACTTTTTCATATTTGGGACAGTAATATATCCATAATAAGTGAGTAAAAGAATACTTGGTTAACTATTGAGGGTTAAGAGGGGACATGGCAGAGGGTATTTAAGGTCAACTAACACTCCCAAATACTCAGGCTAACCCACTCTGCATAAAGGCTCAATAGTATTTTTAATTATTTCATCAGTAGACTTTGGGGTCTGTACACTATGGACTTTTCACTGGAAGAATAAATGAGTCCCTGAAGTGGCTGTGGATTGTTGTTTTTTGTTTTTTAACAGAGATCTCAACAGACTATGAATAAAGTTGGGGTTCTAAGTAGTCCAGCAGAATCTTCCAACCTGAGAAACGAGGGACATAAATGGCCTCATTAAATAACCATTTTTAGGCATCTGCTAAGGCTTTACATTTCATACAATGTATGCAACTCAATATATGGATACCATCAAAGAAATGCTTCCTATGACGAGACTACCCTCTCTCTCAACTTACAATGAGGGAGTCCTAGAAAACTATATAAAGCCATTCATACTAACGATATTAATGGGAATATAAGTATAAATGAGTCGTAGGTCTGAATTTGAAAAAGCTTATGAATCATTTTTCTCTGTTATACCACTAAGTACACTGTTGGCAAGAACATATAAACCCAGCACAGATGTGAACACATAGGCCTGCCAAAAAGCCTACTTTCATTTCTGGTTAAAAATAACTATATAATTTTGATTACTAAATTTATTTAAATGTCTCAAAAGGAACATAAGTATTACCTGGCAGTTTTTATATTGCTTCTCCAAGATTCTCAATTATGGGGACAAAGGGTTCAAGCAGCATGTGTGTGTTTAGGAGCACTTGCGCTGGCACTGAAAATGGGACACCTGCTTCCATTTGCCACTCCCTCTACCAAGGTTATTTTCAAGCTGAAGAAGTACACAGCCATAGAAAAAGGTCTTGCAAAGTCTTCTGGCAATGGTAATTAGCACGCACACCCTTTATCTTACCCTACTCAAAACCATATAAACACTTAGGTCCAAAACTTAAGTGCGGAACAGCACTGGGACAGCACTGAGATCTTACTGATCTCTATGGTGAACTCACTCTAAAATAAAATTACTAATAGTTCAATACAATAAGTTAATTTTTCCAACCATATTTAAAAGAAGGTGGAACTTCCACTAGTATGCTGAATACAAGTGGTGAGAGAGGGCATCCTTGTCTTATTCCAGTTTAAGGGGAATGTGTCCAGCTTTTGTCCATTCAGTATGATGTCAGTAGTGGGTTTTTCATAGCTTGCTCTTATTATTTTGACGTTTATTCCTTCAATGCCTAGTTAGAGGGTTTTTAACATGAAGAGATGTTAAATTTTACTGAAAGCCTTTTCTGAATATATTGGGATAATCATGTGGTTTTTGCTTTTAGTTCTGATTATACGATGGATAACATTTATTGATTTGCATATGTTGAACCAACCTTGTATCCCAGGGATAAAGCCTACTTGATTGTGGCAGATCTGCTTTTGGATGTGCCACTGGATTCAGTTTGCTAGTATATTGTTGAGGATTTTTGCATCTATGTTCATCAAGGATATTGACCTGAAGTTTTCTTTTTGTTGTGTCTCAACCAGCTTTTGGTATCAGGATGATACTGGCCTCATGAATTCAGGAGGAGGTCCCTTCTCCTCAATTTTTTGGAATAGTTTCAGTAAGAATGGTAACAACTTTTCTTCATCTACTAGAATTTGGCTGTGAATTCGTCTGGTACTGGGCTTTTTCTGGTTGGTAGACTTTTTATTACTGATTCAGTTTCAGAACTCATTATTGGTCTCTTCAGGGATTCAGTTTCTTCCTGGTTCAATCCCAGGAGGTTGTATGTTTCCAGGAATTTATCCATTTCTTCTAGGTTTTCCAGTTTGTGCGCATAGAGGTGTACATAACAGTCTAAGGGTTTTTTGTATCTCTGTAGGGTCAGTGGTAATGTTCTGTCATTTCTGATTGTGTTTATTTGTATCTTCTCTCCTTTTTATTAGTCTAGCTAGCAGTCTATCAATCTAGTTCTTTCAAAAAAAGCAACCCCTGGATTTATTGATCTTTTGTTTCTTGTTGTTGTTGTTGTTCTTTTTGAAATGGAGTCTCACTCTGTTGCCCAGGCTGGCATGCAATGGCGCGATCTTAGCTCACTGCAACCTCCACCTCCCAGGTTCAAGCGATTCTCCTGCCTCAGCCTCCTGAGTAGCTGAGATGACAGGTGCACGTCACCACACCCAGCTGATTTTTTATTTTTAGTAGAGACAGGGTTTCACCATGTTGGTCAGGCTGGTCTCGAACTCCTCACCTCATGATCTGCCTGCCTTGGCCTCCCAAAGTGCTGGGATTACAGGCATGAGCCACCATGCCCAGGGTTTTTTTTTTGTTTTGTTTTGTTTTTGAGACAGAGTCTCACTTTGTTGCCCAGGCTGGGGTACAGTGGCGCCATCTCTGCTCACTGCAACCTCCACCTCCCAGATTCAAGCAATTCTCCTGCCTCAGTCTCCCGAGTAGCTGAGATTATAGGCACACACCACCACACCCAGCTAATTTTTGTATTTTTAGTAGAAACAGGGTTTCACCACTTTTGGCCAGCCTAGTTTTGAACTCCTGATCTCAGGCGATCCACCCACCTTGGCCTCCCAAAGTGCTGAGATTACAGGCAGGAGACACTGCAACCAGCCTGCATGTTTTTTTGTGTGTCTCAATGTCCTTCAGTTCTGCTCTAATTTTACTTTTTGTCTTCTTCTTCTAGCTTTGGGGTTGGTTTGCTCTTGGTTTTGTTTTTCTAGTTGTGATGACTAGGTTATTAATTTGAGATCTTTCTAGCTCTTTGAAGTCCTGGCCAAAGCAATCAGTCAAGAGAAAGAATAAAAGGCACCCAAATAGGAAGACAGGAAGTCAAACTATCCCTGTTTGCAGATGACATGATTCTACACCTAGGAAATCCCATAGTCTCTGTCCAAAAGCTCCTTGATCTGATAAACTTCAACAAAGTTTCAGGATACAAAAATCAATCTATAAAAACTAGCAGCATTCCTATACACCAGCAATATCCAAGCTGAGGATCAAATCAAGAATGCAATCCCGTCCAAAACAACCACAAAAATAAAATACCTAGGAATACAGCTAACCAGGAAGGTGGAAGATCTCCCCAAAGAGAAATACAGAACACTGGCCAAAGAGATCAGAGAGGACACAAACAAATGGAAAAACATTCTATCCCCACAGATAGGAACAATCAACATTAAAATGGCCATACTGCCCAAAACAATTTACAGATTCAATGCTATTCCTATCTAACAACCAATAATATTCTTAACAGAATTAGAAAAAAAATGACTTTAAAATTCATATGGAACCAAAAAAATAGCCCAAATAGACAAGGCAATCCTAAGCAAAAAGAATGAAGTAGGAGGCATCACATCACCCAACATCAAACTATACTACAAGGCTACAGTAACCAAAACAGCATGGTACTAGTACCAAAACAGATGCATAGGCTCATGGAACAGAATAGAGAGCCCAAAAATAAGGCCACACACCTACAACCATCTGATCTTCGATAAAGTCAACAAAAACAACCAATGGGGGAAGGATTCTCTATTCAATAAATGGTACTGAGATAACTGGCTAGCCATATGCAAAAGATTGAACTGGACCCCCTTTCTCACACCATAAAGAGAAATCAACTCAAGATAGATTAATGACTTAAATGTAAAACCTGAAACTATAAAAACCCTGGCAGATAACCAAAATATTAACAAGCCATGCATCCAACAAATGTCTAATATTCAGAATTTATAAGGAACTTAAATCGACAAGCAAAAATCAACTCCGTTACAAAGTGGGCAAAGGACATGACCAGACACTTTTCAAAAAGACATACATAGCCAAAAAGCATATGAAAAAATGCTCAACATCCCTAATCATTAGAGAAATGCAAATCAAAACCACAATAAGATAGCATCTCACACAGTCAAAATGGAGATTAAAATGTAAAAAAAAATAACAGACACTGGCAAAGTTGTGGTGAAAAGGGAGCACTTATATACTGCTGGTGGGAATGTAAATTAGTTCAGCCACTGTGGAAAGCAGTTTGGTGATTTCTCAAAGAACTCAAATCAGAATTACCATTCAACCCAGCAATCCCATTATTGGGTATATACCCAAAGGAATATAAATATTCTAGCCTAAAGACACATGTATACGTATGTTCACTGTGGCACTATTCACAATAGCAAAGACATGGAATCAACCTAAATGCTCATCAATGGCAGACTGGATAAAGAAAATGTGGTATGTACACACATCGGAATACTATGCAGCCATAAAAAATAATAGTGAAATCATGTCCTTTGTAGCAACATGGATGGAGCTAAAGGCCATTATCCTAAGCAAACTAACAAAGGAACAGAAAACCAAATACCACATGTTCTCACTTATAAGTGCAAGTTAAACATTGAGTACATATGGATCTGAAGGCAACAAGAGACACAGGGGCCTACTTGAGGGTAGAGACAGGAAGGTGAGTGAGGGTCAAAAAACTACCTATCAGGTACTATGCTTATCACCTGGTGATGAAATAATCTGTACACCAAACCCCCATGACATGCAATTTACCTATATAACAAATCTGCACATATACCACTAAACCCAAATTTTTTCAAAAAAAAAAAAAAAAGGTGGGTAGCCAAAACTTCTCACGAAAACAAACAACAACAACAACAAAACCCTAAAATCTAAAATTTAAGATAATATGAGAGGACCATACAAAGAAAACTGGTCCTAGAGATCAAAGCAATCTGATAAGAAAGGGATGACGGGTGGATTAATTTAGGTTTAGGAATGATTTCACACAAGATACTCACTCGGCATCTGACCCAGCTTTTCAAAACTAACACAGGATTCTATCTAAGATCAACCCATTCAGAAAACTAATATTTACTAATCCTTTATATTCCTGATACTTTTTCTACCAGACGGTACACTCTCAAATTGGGGTAAAGAATCTGAATAAGCAAAGATAAAAGAACAACCAGATTTGAATGGAAAAGCTTCTAATGATTTATTCACTCATTACACTCAACAGCCAGCTATTAAGAATGTATTATAATGACAGGCAAACCTGAGAGGTAACCCAAAAATGAATAATATATATTCCTTACCTTCATAAAAGTATACAGTATAGTGGGAAAAACAGGTATGACAGCAGTATGCTGAGTGCTCTAACAGCAGTAAGCACAGATTGCTCAGAAAGCACACTTTGGAATACTTAGCCCCAGAAAAGCTAACTGCCCACTAATTTAGGGTCTTATCAAACAAAACAAAAGCAATGGCTTTCACATGGAGGAATCTGTGTCTCTCTGGAATTCATGTTCATCATTTAAAGTAACTTTTCTCGTTTGGGAGAAGCCGACAAAAACAGAAAAATTCAGAGTTCTACTTTTTGCTACTACCTAACTTTGGGAAGCCATCATCCATGGACATCTCATGTTTCTGTACATCTTGTGTCAGCAACTTGTCCACACGATTTTATGGATGTCTGGATAGCATACAGCCTTAGGAGAGACAGAAAGTGTCTCCCTGGGGGGGCAGAGTTGTTTCCTGACCAGAATAAAGATAACTTCTCCCTCAGGGGCGAAAGTTGTCCAGGTTTGCTAGCAGTCTTAATAACAATAGGGGTCTCCTAAGCTTGAGCTTTTACACCTAGGACACAAACCCACTCTGTGGACAGCACCAACCCAGGCCTGTCTCCATGTGGCCCCTGTGGGACTTGAGGGGCAGGGGAGTCAATGCAAACTTCAAGCTCATACTGCCTGCTGTGCCATGAGTTGTCCAGCAACATAAGAAAGTATGGCAGGCTAATACGTTAACCTGCAAGTAGGGTAGAATCTCAGACTCTTCATAATTCTTGAAACCTAGAAAAAGTCTCTTTCGTCAGTAAATGAATCAGAAAAGCCAAAGAAATCTGAAATTTCTGTCATAAAACAGAGCTAATGGGGCTTGGGGTAGGCAGAGAAAAGAAGGAGTAACTGGGTATGCCATACCTAATCATGTAATTACAAACTCACTGTAAGTCTGGTTAGCTAAGCTGGTGCTAGTTGACACACTGGAAACTAGATAGGTGGGCTCCAGGATATTGATAGCATATTCTTGGATAATAAAATATCTCTTCTTCCCTCCTTTTTAGGAAAGAGAGGGGATTAGAAATAAGTATTTCTAAAAAGATTCAATAACCAATAGTTTATTCAAGCTATTAAATAAAATGGCTCAATAGCTACTAAAACACATATGAGTAAGTAGAGTAAATTCAGCCAACTTAAAAAACTCTTAAGAGGAAACAGTAAAAAGAAAATAAGACTCGCTGAAAGCCAGATTTTCATAGATTCCTTTAAAAAAAAAAAAAGTTCAGTCTCAGAAGATTTGAGTAGGGAGTACAAATACAGCGCTTTAATAGTAATTTACCTACTCTTCAATTTGCAAAATCCTATTTTATGAATATATCTGCAAGCAGAAGACAGTTCAGATAGATCAAAAGATGCAAAGAAAACAAAACAATGCTGATCCAAACCACAGGAGAGAGCATTATTTAGCAAGGTCGTGCTAAGTGTTTTTGGAATATGCAACCATTTCCCATATCAAACATTTTGAAATTAGTGTACCTTCCAAAATTAGGTATCACAGCAAGGAAGAAAACATTCCTCTGCTTTGTTTCTTCCCATGACAAAAATCAGTGCATATGAAAATGCACGCAGGTGGAAGAATTATTCTAATCGTTATCACCCAAAGATATAATAGGAAATAGGCCATTTTAATTTTAAAAACAAACTTGGGTGAGAATTATTAGGTGTAGGCATGCCTTATCATGGTTGTCACTGAGAAATTGATTCACTGAGTCTAGCAATGAAAGAGGTGGAGAGAGAATAGACCAACAGGAAGGAAAACGGCTCCAAGACAGATCATCGCTGAAAATATTAGCTTCATCCTTTATGCACTTTTCCAAAAGCTGCAATAAGTGATATCTATCTCATGCACATTAATGCCAAGAAATTTCTTCTTATATAGTCCAGGGACATTTACAGTGCCCAGTTTACTAAGGCACTTTTTTCTAGAGCCTAGAATTTATGCACCCTAAGAATCACTACCATGTCGGCCTTATTAGAACTGTAACAAAACATCACTGTTTTCAATCATTTGTTATGCCAAATAAAAACCAGCAGATTCTCTGCCCAACAGTATATCAAGACCGTCTGTCACCTCTATTCTAACAGCCAGCAGGCAAGCTAAAAGAATAAAAGAAATAAAAAACAGCAACAGCCTTCTGGAGGGGAAAAAATTTCCAGAGATTGATGATCTGCTACCTGCTTAATAGAGATAAACTTTTTTGTCCTATGGCAAAACACTCCTGGCTTGAAAAATAAGTTTTAAAAATTTGGTTTATTAAAACAAAAATCATAGATGTTTCTGATCATAATGTGTTGAGGAAGAACTACATTTTATTATTTTGATACTAGGGATGAAAGTGTTGTCAATGAATGCCTTGGAAGAGGCTCATTTGAAGAAATGGACTCCATGCTACAAACAAGCATTAAGTGCCTAACATGTGAAAGATGCTGCAGAGAATGCTGAAAAAAAAGCAAGAAGTGCTACCTGATTCAAAGACATTCATCTTACTACACACTTCATTATATAGACAATGTGCCTACAGAAGCCTATATATTAATTCTTCTTCTTAATCTTCCTTCCCTTTAGGGGTATAGGGTGGACAATTCAACTAGAGAACTTGTCTTAGTCTGCTTTGTGCTGCTATAACAAAATACCTGGAACAGTGTAATTTATAAAGAAGAGAAATTTTTCAAAGTTCTGGAGGCTGGGAAGTCCAAGACCAGGGCACCAGCATTTGACATCTGGTATGAGCCTTCTTGCTGCATCCTCACATGGCAGAAGGCAGAGGGCAAGAAGGAAAAACTGTGTCCTCACATGGCAGAAGAGCAAGCTGGAAGAACACTACAAGAAGCCTTTTTATAAGGGTCTTGATCCCATTAAGGAGGAAGGTGCCCTCATGACCTAATCACCTCTTAAGGCCCCAACCTCTTAATACTATTCCACTGACAACATTCAAATTTTGGAGGAGATGCATTCAAACCATAACAGAGCCCAATACCAAAAAGAATCAAGGAACCCTCACATTTCAACTTCGGTGGTATCACTTATAAGGCCAAATCCCGCCCATCCATGATAACCCAAGAGGCATAGAAAGGGTGATAAACTGCAAAACGTATTCAGTGACAAACAGTGTATTTCCATTAAACATTCACTATGTTACGAATACACACACTCACACATGCAAAAACACACCACAACACTGTATAATTTTATGGCCATATAAACAGAAGAAACAAACAGAAGAATACAGAATGAGGTTTTATTATTAAAAGATAAAATAATCCAACCTAGAGGGAGACAAAGGAAGAAGCAAAAAGGTTAAAAAAAAAAAAAAAAAGAACTAGGGAAGCAAAGAGGGGTTCATTTTTCTCATATTTTAACTTTAATATATTTTACAAAGTCATTGGTTTGTGATTGCTTCAAAATTACAACATTAACCCTTCAGCAAAGACGGCTTGAGAAACACTGTCCTAAAGACTTAAGATTTAAATCATCATGAAATCTGTATGCTAATCTTACACTTATTTTATAAGTAAGTTTATACTTATACTTCACTTTCACTAAACAATAGGCATTTCTTAATATGCAGACATCCCTGTTCCCACTTAATTTACTGAAGTGCCACTGCTCTAACCAATCAACCTGCTAGTGCAAGGTTCAAAGAAGGTCTGAATTATCTTCACATTCCCCCTAGAGTGCCTAGCTCTCAGTGTTCAATAAACCAACTGGCAGCTTACACATATGCTCAGAGAACCAGTAAAGCTGGAATACTTTTTTTTTTTAATGTTCTTGAAATAATTTATTTCAACAAAAGCAGTGAAGTAGCCATCATGGAGAAAATAACTTCAGGACTTTCTTACTATTTTCAAGTTTCATACTGTTTTCATTTCAAATTACCTATGGGGGAGGAGGAACAATAATATTTTCAATGCTTAAAACCTCTAAAGTTCATGATCCAGCAACAACAGAAGAGTGCCTTATACACCCTCCATGGTGACCACCTCTGATCATTCTATCTGAAATTGCAGCATGCCACCCACCTTCCCTGAATTCTATATCCCCCTTACACTGCTTCATCTTGCCCCTACCATAGCACACATATTCATTTTTTGTCCATCCCACCCATTAATGCACAGGGAATACTGTTGGTTTTGCTAACAGCTCTCAATGCCTAGCACACAGCAGGTGTTCAAATATTTGCTGAATAAATTTTTCTAAAAACTTCATGAAGTCTTCACTTAATAAGCCGGCATTTCACCTAAAATGTACACTTTCATGGTAAAGAACAAAGCTTCGCATCAAAGCAAAAGTGATTTAATTCTAACTGTCACCAACAGATGGCACTAGCCTCAGATGTTGCCTTGGACTTGAAACCGTGTTTCAAAATATGCATTGAAAAGAACAAAGTCAAAACAAAAATTTGCTTGGACAATTTAAAAGTGTTGAAAAGAAATGTGAAAGTTGAATCCAGTGCCATCACAAAGACAGTCCTCCCATTAACAAGTTCAGGTACAGATACACACACTGCTTAGAGACTTAAAAAGTGGTCTTATGAACAGCATTTCTGGAAACTAATCTGCCATATTAGCAGTGTTGTACAATTATATTTGTTAGAGCCATATAAACAAGCACTTGTTTATGAATTTGAAAACTCCTTATTTCTAATCATATAACAAGTTCAAAGGGCAATTCACATGACCTTCAAGAACAGCCTGTCCTATTTCACATTTCTTTCATTACCTGTGTAACTACCTTAAAATAAAGATAAATACGGCCTGTAAAAGTAGCTGTTTAAACTTCAACCACAAAAGTAGATTTAAAAATTCAGTAGTTAGCAGATGTTATAAATATTGAATATTGTATAAAAGAAGGAGATAAAGGAAAACGACTCAATATTTGATATAATGATTCAGCATGTTACAGAATAAACATCATGCCAAAACCAGCTTTAAGCTTTCCACTGAAAATTTACATCCTCAGGAAGTCATCTGCATACCAAACTCAAATAGGAAAAAAAATACATAAAGCAACTCAATATATGCATCTAAGCTTCATGTTACACAATAACAACTCCTTTTGAATTGGAACAAAGCTTAGATTACAAAAAAAGAATTAAGCACAGGATGCCAAAAAACAGAAAAGACACCTATAAGACAAATGAGCATATATACCAAACTATTTCAGCTGGCAACATCTGAGATCATGCTACCATTGTTTCACTTCATGGTAGCAAAAATTCGGAGTACAGTAGTCTTGACTTTAGAGTTCTTCCTTCTGTTTAAGTCAACTGAACATTACATAAGGCCCCTGAACACAAATCACCAGGTATGGAAGAGATAAAAATTAAGAGACATGTGGCTACATTATGAAATGTCAAGAAAAAGAAAAAAATACTAGCAAAATAGACCATTGGAATCCAGAGGTCAGTGGGTTGAAGAAGTAAGGGATGGCTTCAAAGAAGAGACAAGATAAGCACTGCATCTTGAAAGATGTGAAATGCTGGAGTGGGAAGAAAATAATCCAGGAAGGAATCCTTCACTGTTTAAGTGGAAACTGGGAAGAATGGTCTCGCAGGACAATAGGATAGGGGCTAGCTTACAAAACCCAACTGCAAGGGTGAACTTAAGGGTAGCATGGAAGGTAAACCACTTGAAAAAAAATACTAATTTGACCAAGGTTCACAGGAAGATGACTCAGAAGAACAACGAGAACCAATTATGAAGCTTATCCCCCCGAGCCAAGAATGAGGTAATAAGAATCTGGGGGCAGAATGGCAGTGTAAGTGGGAAGTGAAAATGGAACACTAAAAGCCACCACTAAATGTAGAAATGACGGGAATCAAAGCAAGCACAATCATACCGAGGCAAGTCAGAGGGGCCTAAGTACAGACTCCAGTGCTAGCGCTTCACTAACTATGCAACATTAGGCAAGGAAGTAAGTGAACCTGTCAAAGCCTGTGTCTGAACTTGTAACATGACAACAACACTACACAAGGCTGTGGTAAGAATTTAAATAAGTGAGATATGATAGTCAAAGTGCATGGTAAGTTATAAAAAAATTGATAGATGTTAATCATTTTCCAGTACTTATTTTACAAATACTTAGTCCAAGTTCCTAAAAGTCACTAAGTACCTAACACAGTCCCTGGCATCCGTTAGGTAACTGCTGCTGAAAGGAGGGAAAAAGAGAGAAAGAGAAAAAGTGAAGAGACAAGAGGCAGAAACATCCTAGCTCCCACATAGGAGAATCTTGATTTGGAACTTGGAATCTTTTTATAAGAGTATACTTATAAGCTTCAAAGTTAGCTAATCTGTGTTTTAACACCAACAGTGAGTTCTTACAGTACTAAAAAAAGAAAAAGCTACTAAAAAAAAAAAAAAAAGTAGGACTAAATCAATGTAAACAGGATCTGGAATCAACTCTAAGGTACAATGAATAATCTATGGGTATCATTCAAATCTTAATTAAAACTGACCTATGTTTACTTTTAAGAAAGCTTTAAAAGGACATTTGTTGAGCTAAAATGGAATCTACCCAGTCTCATTTCTAAAAAGGTTTAAACTGAAAAAGAAAAGAAAGCATATGCTTAGAGATTTCATTCTCACATTTAAGGAAATAAGTGTTCCAAAAATAAATTTTAATTTAATCATTTTAATTGTATGTTCATGCTCTTATCTAACACTGTCTCCCTGGAGGTCAACTTTCTGAACACCCAACAAGACAATTAGCCAAAACAAGGTTCTTCCCTATGGTGGGAGGTCAACCAGCCATCTCTTACTGCCTTTGTGCCTGATCACTACACCTGCGCTCTCTCCTGCACATGTCTTATTGCTTCATCACTCGTGGCACTTCTCCACTGCTAAGAAAATCTTGTTGTCCTTCACTGCATCGATCTCGTCAAACAGAAAAGGATTGTGACAAGGCAGCATTCCAGAAGGCCTTGCTTGCACCTGGCACTCAGTACCTCTCGTCTCCATTTACGCCGAAGTCTAAAGGCAAACATTCATTTTATACTCCAAGTGTGCGCACACAATGAGTAGCCCAAAATTATTTACAATACTGTCAATTACACTGACATTACCCAATTACAGAAAGCAAACTACACACAAATAATGGTAGGCACGACAGCAGAGAAAGAAAATGTGACTTAGCATCACAAATAGGTTTAACTGCTAACTTCACCACTGTGACCTTGGACAAGTCACTTAAAAGCCTTCCTTTCCTCCTCCGAAATTTTAATAGCTACCTTTCTTGTCATAAGGAAAAATGAGAACTTATGCAGAAAGTGTTCAGTATATGGTAAAATGCCAAATAATTATGGTCTTAATTATAATGATATGATTATTAGACATATTCCATAAAATCTACAATCCAATGGGTTCCTACTGGCTCCAAGTTTCAATTTGGTTCTTGTACAAATCTTCTTTTTCCAGAGAGACAAGAAAGGGAAAAAAAGATAATCAAGATAAAGAGGATAAGTTATAAGTAACAAAGCCAGTTCCCTTCTGTGTCTGGTATGGTGTCTACAAAGACAATTCTAAAACATGAGCAACAAAAATTTCAACAAAGTCAGCAGTGTCTGGAAAAGTGCTTAGTCTTCCCACAGGGAATATACTCATTTATATGTGCAAATGATAGTATTATTCCCATTTTATGTATGATTTGATTTTTCTATATCTCGTCTATCCTTAAAAATAGGTAATAAAGGAAAAAAGCAGCCTCCAGTGACTGATGGATGCATACAACACTAAAATATGAAATGCAAAAGTAAAGGATAAAATGGAAAGCCAGGATGGGTGCAGTGATTTATACCTATAATCCCAGAACTTTGGGAGGCTGAGGCAGGAGGATGGTTTGAGTCCAGCAATTCAAGATCACTTCAGCCCATAAGGTCGAGGCTGCAGCGAGCCATGATGACACCATTGCACTCCAATCTGGGTGACAGAGAGAGACTCTGTCTCAAAAAAAAAAAAAAGAAACCCAATTGAGATCACGGTTGCAGGGTCACATTCAAAACCAATTGCTTAAAAACATGGAGAAGAATCAAAAGATATTAACACGAGTGAAAATAAGTATTAATTTTTAAAATTCGAAAGTAGGTAACAGGTGAAGTTAAGACTAGGTGAGGTAGTTCAAAAAAGGGCTGGGCATGGTGGCTGACACCTGTAATCCTAGCACTTTGAGAGGCTGAGGCAGGTGGATGACCTGAGGTCAGGAGTTTGAGACCAGCCTGGCCAACATGGTGAAACCCCGTCTCTACTAAAAATACAAAAATTAGCTGGGTGTGGTGGCACGTGCCTGTAATCTCAGCTACTCGGGAGGCTGAGGCAGGATAATCACTTGAGCCTGGGAGGCAGAGGTTTCAGTGAGCCAAGATCGGCCACTGCACTCCAGCCTGGGTGACACAGCGAGACTCCGTCTCAAAAAAAAAAAAAAGAAACGGCAATTAGCCTTTCTATTTCAACTGGAGAACCACGAAATTCAACTCTACTGTTTGTGCACAGTACTAGGGAATGTACAGGAAGAAACAGCAAAACATTCCTTGTTTAGCATCAAAAATCCTATCAACTGCCCCAAAATGTTCCTCATATTCAACAGACATGACATAATACTTTAAATTTATTACAGTAAAAAAAAAAAAACATGCAGGTACGTGTGTACTTTAAAGATAGAACTTCTTATAGTATAATGCAAATGTAGTCTTAGTAAACCGAATTTTACAACACTATAATTAGATACTACCACTTACTATCCAAATTAAATTATAAAGCTCGGCCTACATAAGTATATCATTTAGAGTCAAGTAAGTTTTTTATGCTCACATTTATAGGAAGTTCAACAATACCTTTTGAACCACTGTAAGTCATGAGGTGAACTTCACAAAATACAGGTTTTCCAAAAATAAACCCTACCTATGAGTTCTATATAACTCACAGCAAACAAAACCAAAGTGAAGGAATAAGAAATTCAGTTAATTCACTCCCTCATTCACAAAATATTTGTGAAATTTGCACTAGTCATTGTACCAGGCCCTGAAAACACACTGATCAGTAAGACAATATTTTCCTTTTGTTTGATAGCCCTGGATTATGTTTTCCCAGGAAGACAGCTCCCTACCACTGAGATGTGTGTTAGGGGAGCCCGAGTTGTCACTTTTCTACGAGACTTTCAGTCATAAGGGAAAACCTGTCTAGGTCCTAGTGGTTGAGAAATCTCTAAGAGGTGAAGCTGAACCCAGAGCTACACATACAGCTAATCTTTTCGAAATGTTTAGAAGTAAAGCAATCTGAAGGAAATTCAGAACCACAGAATTTACTGACTGAAATACATCCTATTGTTCATACCAAGAATAAGAGTGGAGAGGGACTATTGTTTTCCTGGTAAAATTATAATGGAGGCAGAAGAGCATCAGCCATGGAAGGTAAGCTTTTACTCTGAATTGCCAAAGTGGAACTTCATGCCCACTTGAATTGATCCATTAGAACTAATGGATCCAGAATCCACGATCAGACAAAACTGTGATTGACAAGGGAAAAAAACAAACTTTAGAAGAATGTTTCCAGATGTTCAAAATGATTCATCAGCTTACTAGTAGTTGGGAAGGTATTCTAATGGTCACAAGAGATATCATTAAAGAATTTGCAGACCAAATCTCCTCTCTGGTGTACATTAACGACGTGCATTGTGTTGTTTGTTTTAGAGACAGGGTCTCTCTCTGTTGCTCAGGCTGGAGTGTCGTGGCTTGCTGTAGCCCTGGACTTCTGGGCTCAAGTGGTCCTCCCACCTCAGAGGGATTACAGGTGTGGGCCACTATGCCTGGCCTGATGTATAGTATTAACAAGTGAGTTATTAAGTACAAAGTAGAAAATCCAGTCAGGCATCATATGTTTAATGGAGGAAAAAAAAAAAGGCCTGCAACAATTTCTTTTGTTCTTCCTTGTTTTGTTTTTTTCACTCTGAGAAAAGGATATTTGCTCAGTCGAGCTGCACTGTCACAAGCAGAGGCTGCTCCCTGCATCAAAGGCACTTGTGAGACGATGCCACTGAGTGGATGCAGAATCATATTTTATGGTAGTTACTGAAATGTGGGTTATTCAATCACTCCTCAGGGACTGATAGTTTATCAGGCCAGGAGCAAGCTGTGATGTGCTAAAACCTCTCTGGATGGAGATGAGCAGATCTGAATATGGTCTGGAGGAATTTGTGACCCTCCTTCAATAAGAGCGGCATAAGGAGGTATTACGTAGTGTCACTGGGGCCCTCTTAGAACCCTGTCGATAACCCAAAGAGACCTAGGTCATCTTATGCCCTAATATGTGTAAGCTCGGTAATCATTTGGGGGTAAAATTTTTGAAACAATTACTATAAAGTAAGTGTTTACATGAGATAAGGAGAAGATTCCTATCTTGCATTTTCGAACTGTAGAATCAGTTCCATGTTATGCTGGTGAGAGTAGTGAAAGTGAAGGAGAGAAGAAACCTGCCAATTAGTAGAACTCTTTAAACGGAGATTCAAAAAAAGGATATTAACCTAAGTATCCAACAGCAGGAGAATGGTTAAATAAAGGTTAATGGCATATTAGGCAACCATAAAAATATTTGCGAAGACACTTTAATGACATGGGGAAATATATATACCTAGGAGCATCTCACTTATTTAAAAATGGGTATATGAGCAGGGCACAGCGGCTTACTGCCTGTCAGCTCAGCACTTTGGTAGGCCAAGGTGAGAGGATCACTTGAGGCCAAGAGTTTGAGACCATCCTGGGGAACACAGAAAGAACCCACCTCTACAAAAAAATTTTTAAAAATTACCCAGGCATGGTAGCATACACCTGAAGTCCTAGCTACTCAGGAGGCTAGGGCAGAAGAATCGCTTGGGCCTGGGAGTTTGGGGGTACAGTGAGCCACAATCATGCCACTGCCTTCTAGCCTGTGTGACAGAGCGAGACCCTATTTCTAAAAAAAAAAAAAAAAAAAAAAAAAAAGAACAAATGTGTATGTATACTTAAAAAAACAAAGACAGTTGTTATCTCTAGGTGGTGAAATTACAGGTTATTTTTATTTTTATTTGTGATTTTCTGTGTTTTACTAGAGATTTTCCACCAAAAATAAGCATTTTATAATCTGGGTAAAAGGGTATTTTACAGGAAATTTTTCTCAAAACCACTCTTGCAGAGTCCCCCGCCCTGCCCCTCAAGAACAGAGCACTCAACCTTGGAAGAACATCATCTCTGGTGCCCTGGATGTGAGAAACACTAAGTCTGAGCAGGACTGAGAGGAAAGGAACCTAAGTTAGGAAAAGGGCTTGTTGTTGTTGTTTTCTTAGAATGAGCATTTAAATTTTTACAGCAATTTGCCAAAGTAATTTCATGTCTGTTGAATTTAAAAATAATTTTCAAATGGGCTTGTATACTGTGTGTGCTTTCTGGGTTTTTTTTTTCTTTTTTCATTTTTCTAGGACTTTTTTCCCCCAACTTAATAAAATTTGCATTTACTAAAATGTACCCATAAGGATCATGTTTTCACTCATCTTTAACCATGCCCTTGTCACAGCATAAAATGAAAATGTAGTTGTTCAAATAGGAACGCTAAAGTTGAAGGATGAAATAGTTGATGATCTCTTCACATGTATTTTCTATGTGTCCTTTCTAGGAATGACTAAAAAGACTTAGTCATTCCTAAGTGAATGTGAATCTATACTTGAAAGTATAAAACGGTCCAAACAAGAAAACTTAGACACTGACGTTAGGTAAGGACATTGTACCTTAGTAGTTAACATTTTAAAAAAAACAGAATGTGAATTTTTACTGTTTTGATTGTGGGTGTAATGGATTTTTTTAAATTAGCTATTAATTGATTTCTAAAATAGAAAATAAAATCAAGAACCCTACTGTTTAAAGTGAGAATACAATTCTGAATTTATTCATATGGCAATAAAATTCTGAGTATTTTTACTTGAGTAAACAAAAGACAACATTTCAAGGAATTTGGAATAAAGTAGAGAAGGCAGGGAAATGAACAACTGTGTGTGACAAGGGACACAAAGCAAAGTTAAAAGCCAGAGACAATAACTTTACTGTTTGAGGACATCTTACGAATCAACAGGAAAGAGACTAATATCATAACAGGGAAAAATATGTGTAAGCAATATATACACAAATTAAGAAAGAAATCATAACTTTCTAAATAACTGTTAATATTGATATAAATTATTAATATTCATATTGGAATCAAAAAGAGATTCAAACAATACAGACGCTAGTAGGGCAACGATCAACATGACCTCTATGCTGGCAAAACATATAAAAAGCTTTCAAAATGTGTCATATTCCCAGTCAAGTCATCGCAAAAAAAGAAAACTGCAAACCAATATCCCTCACAACAACAGAAAGATCCTTAACGAAAATATTAGCAAATAGAATCCTATAATATAAATATAAAGAAATCTTGCTTAAATGGAGTTTTTCAAAGGAATTTAAATTTGATTCAACATGTAGCAGGGGGAAATCAATACACCATAATCAACAGGCTAAAAACCACCACGTCATCACCTTAATGTTTACAGAAAAAGCATCTGACACAAGTCACAATTCATTTTATCATAAAAACACTAAGCCAGCTAGGAATAGATGGAAGCTTCTCAAACTCATAGGCATTTACAAAAAAAACTTACAGCTAACATCAGATGTAATGGTAAAAGACTGAATGCTTCCCCCTCAGTAAGATCAGGAACAACACAGCAATATCTACTCTCACCACTTCTATTCCACAGATCCTACTCGGTAAAATCAAGCAAAAGAAAAAGAAAGAAAAAAGAAATATATGGTCCACAGATGAAAAAGGAAGAAATGAAACCATCCTCATTCACAAACCTCATAATCAGTTACAAAAGAAAATCCCAAGAAACTCCCAAAAAGCCACAAGAACTAACAGGTCAGTTTAGAATGATCAGTCTACAAAAAACAAACTATTTCTATATACTGGCAACAAATAATTGGAAATTGAAATTTTAAAAATACCATTTATGATAGCATTAAAAAATATCAAATAGTAAGAGATGACTCTAACAAAATATGTGCACATTACATGTGCTTAAAGTTATAAAGCAATGCTAAAAAGACACTAAAGAAGGCCTAAATAAAAAGGTATTGTTATGATGTCAATTCTCTCCAGTTAGATTTACAGATTCAATGCAACCTCAATGAAGTCATCGGCAAGCTTTTTATACGAAGTAACTAGCTGATTCAAAACCTTACATGAAAATGCCATGGTCCAAAAATAACCAAAGCAATTTTAAGAAAATATATATCAGTTGACAGACTCAAAGATCTGATTTAAGACTTAGTATAAAGCTACACTAATCAAGATTGGTGTTATTGGTGAAAGGACAGACGTATCTTTGAAAGTCAACTGACTTTCAAAGAGTCAAGGTAATTCAATGGAAAAAGCATAGTTTTTTCCAAACAAATGGTACTGGATCAACTGGATACCCATATGCAAAAAAAAGTGTACCTTGACCCTTACTTAGCATTATATACAAAAATTAAGGTGAAGAGGATCCTAGCCCAAATTGTAAGTGCTAAAACTATAAAACCTCTGGACGAGAACATAGGAGAAAATCTGTGACTTTGGGTCAATCACAGATTTATCAGATACGACACATATATAAATTACCTAAAATGTGATTGAAATCAGACTTCAAAATTTAAGATACCTGCTCTTTGCCAGACACTCAAAATAAAAACAAGCCATAGATTGGGAGAAAGTATTAGCAAAATATATCTGATTAAGGATATGTATTCAGAATATACAAAGAACTCGTAGAACTTACTAAGGCAACACAATTTCAAAAGAGAGACAAAAGACTTGAAGACATTTCACCAAAGAAGATATATGAATGGCAAATAAGCACATGTAGAGATGTTCAGTCATTAGGGAAATGCAAATTAAAACTGCAGTAGGGTATCACTACATGCCTACTAGAATGGCTAAAATTAAAAGACTGACAATACCATGTGCTGACACGATGGGATGCAACTCGAACTCTATACACTGCTGGCAAGAACACAAATTGGAAGAGCTGATTTGGAAAACAACTGGGGAGTTTCTCAAAGTTAAATATACCCTTAACATATGTTCCCAGTAACCCTATTCCTAGAAAATAACCCCACTCGTTTCCCCAAGAAATGAGAAAATTATCTACATAAAAATGTATATGTTTATAATGACTTTTGTCATAATCACCAAAAAATGGAAACAACCAATGCCAATTTAAAGCTTAAGAAAACCTACATCCATCCAATGAAATACTTACTCAGCAATTAAAAGGAACAAACTACTGATGCATGCAATAACGTTAAGCTAAATGAAAGAAGCTAGACACAAAAGACTAAATACTGTATTATCCTATTTATATATCATTCTGAAAAATGCAACACTACAGGGGTAGAAATCAGATCAGTGGTTGCCAGAGGTTGAGTGAAGGGTAAAGCAATTGCAAAGGGAATAAGAAATGTTTTGGGGTGATGACGCTGTTCTATTCTTAATTGTGGTAATTACACAACACCATACATTTGCCAAAACTCAAACTGTATATATTAAAGAGTTAGATTGATTTAGATAACTGACATAGAGTAAAACTTTTTTAAAAGCTTAAAAAGTTGTTTTGCTATATACATTTTTCAAATGCCAGATGAGCTATTAGTACTTAGACACATGTCCTACTTACGTGAACAATTCATGGTATTATAAAACTATATCATTCCTTCTCATCTTAATTTGAAGCTTTGGTTATGTTCATGATTCTTAGAAAGTGATATACATAATAGTTAATACAGTGGCTAAATTATTTAAAACGAAAATCTAACTTCTTGTATTTACTTTGCTGATAAAATGAGTCTTAACTACAGACTTAAAATGATCTAATTTGAAGCAGGATGAGACAGTACAGGATTATTGGACAAGAGCATAAATATTAAAGTCAGAACACCTATGTTCAAATTCCAGCTTTGCCATTTACTACCTGTGTGCCTCACTACAGTACTATATTGCTTCTGTGCCACAGTTATTTTTTTTCCGTCACCTGTATAATGAGATAGTAGTAACGACCTTTATTTCAAGCACTAAATGAGATAATGTTCAGAAAATGACTAACACATAACACATATTAAGTGTTCAATAAGCACATTTTCTAGGTTTTTTTTTTAATTTTTAGTTACTTAAAGAAACACTCTTCTAAGTTTCACAGTCAAAATCTATTATGTATTTCCTACTGTGAATCTTGAAATTTTATTCAACATTGTATAAAGAGTAAGAATCAAGCTTCATTTTTTATTCAATTCCCTTTTAAAAAGATGATCAAGAATAAAGGCATATGAAGTAGGAAGGGGAATAAGGGAGAAGGGGAAACACATTTACTGTGCACCTACAAAAGCATCCTAGAAAACAAGTGCTTTATCTAAATGGATTATTTCTTTTGTTCCTCCTAGAAGATGGCTACGGAGAAACAAAGGATTTACAGGAAAACTTTTCATAAACATTCATAAGTAGCCTTTAAAAAAGAACTGTTCAATTTCTATTTAAGACACTGGCTTGGTTCCCATAAACAAATGTCGCACTAAGAGTAAAACTTATATTTAAATAATTACAACTGTTCCTTATAATTTAATCAATCAGAAAGCAGTATCTTAAGAATTTTAACGAAGGATCCTCATGCCATAAACCAAAAAACTTCATTGCCTTCCTTTGAGACTTAATCAGGACTTTGGCAACTTTTAAAACACAGCATCAGAAAACCAGTAAATAAGATTAAAGTTGTTAACCTCTTAGAGCTCCCAAAGTTATGAAAAATATGAAAATTCATTGGCACTTATTCTGTGTTTAAGTATGGGGGAAAGGAGGAAGAGTTCATTGCAAAGAAACCCAGTCTAAGTTTCTTAGTTTTCACTTTCTCTCAGTCCCCAAAAGGCAACAATAAGCACATAGTAAGACAATGTAATAGAAGACCCTCCACTGGGAGTAAACTTACCTGTAATGTTTTCTCGTCTTTAAGGTCCAATCCAAACACATTATGCCGCTTCACCTTCAAGAAATCAGCATCTTCTTCCTCCTCATCTCTGTCCAAGAACTGTGTAGGAACTTCCTTGATCTTCTGTGCCTCACTGGTGTTAGGAAGAGATGGGGCTTGAGATCCTTTTGCTTTTGCCAGTTTCTCTTCCATTTCTTCTTCATCGTCTTCTTCTTCTTCCTGTTCTTCATTACCAGTATCATTATCCTGTCTGTGCTCTGTCCCTTCGAGTCTTTTTCCACCTTTTTGAAGGATGGACATTTTCTCATTGAAGTAGGCTCTAAATTCTTCCACTTCGTCATTGGTGAGGGAGGGAGCCCTTGGCTCAATTACTTTATCGGCTTGGCTCCTTACCAATTCTTTGGTGGGTTGTTTCTGCATTTTCTGAAGAAATCTTACGCGTGGTGCCACAGCAAGACCAAGAGACCTTAAATATGGAAAAACGTGAAAACAGTCATCTCAACACTGATGATATGTTTATAGGTGTCATAGAAGAGTTTCTCAAGAGCAGAGATTCCTAGAGCTTTTTTAAAGAAAATGTTCCTGTGAGATACAACTCAATACTAACAGGTTAGTTGATCCAAAAAGTAAGGCAAAATACACTCAACACCTGTCAGAAAACATTTTAGACACTATTTTTTCTTTAAGAGGGTAACATGGAATAAGATAAAGAGCACTGGACCAGAAACAAGATAACAGTTCAAGTACTAGACCTGCCAATTTCCAATTCAACCCTCTCAGCTTCAGCTTCCTTATAACATGGGGATAACAGTACCTGCCAGGCCTAACTCACAGTTGCTGTAAGGATCCAATTAACTAACTACATGAGAGTACCTCATAAAATGTTAAGTACTAAATAAACCAGAGAAGACATGACCATGAAAGGACAAAACAGTTCTCTACAGAGAAAGAACTGGAATGTGGTCCCCATCTCCCTTCCTAAAAGAGAATATGGCACAATCATTGCTATAAAAATGGATTTTATAAACCAAACACCAAAAAAAGAAATTAAAAAATATTGTTTTCTCCATCAATGATCAATATTCAATTTATTATCATGTCTTTCCCAGCTTGGATCAAAGCTAATAGCTTCATTAAGTTCTCAATGATCGAAGGGAAATAAAATCTTAGATTTTATCAAGGATTGCTCTGAATAAACAGTAACATCATAACATGGACCCACTGCTCTTTTCCTATCTGACATGGTTCAAAGAAACTGAGAGATGTAATGCTGAGAAGCATGGATTCAGAAATAAGACTGCTGGGGTTCAAAATCTGGCTGCCACTTACTAGCTGTGAGATCTTACGAATATGATTTAATCTTTCCATACCGGAGCTTTCCCATTTGCAAAACGGGATGCTAAGAGTACCTACCTCACAGGGTTGTTGTAAGAATAAATTAGTTGACAGATGTAATGCTGTTAAAACTAGTGCCTGGCATATAGGGAACTAATGAGAACTTGATGTCATCACCATCACCACTGTTAGGGTTAGGATCACAAACTCATCCAGAGAATTTCACTCAATGTATTGCACTTACATTTTTATGTCTCTCTCAGCTACCAAAACTGAGTTTATTGAAGGCAGCAGTACATCTTATACATCTACAATTTAACATCTAGTACAATGACCTGCACATATTAGGTATTCAAAACATGTTTCTTTAGTAAAATTTTAAAACCTTTAATATATCTTACATACACAGCACTGCTTTAGGTATCAAAGGCTTCTAAAGGAAATTACATACCTCAAGGAAACAACATAGCTAAATATCTAAAAAAATTAAAATACCAAACTCAACTATACTAAAATTTGTTCTCAACGTTAATTTTCTGCCTTCTCTAAGCATCACAAAAAGCAAAAGTCATCAACTACCAATAGATAAAATTTACTGGAATCTATTGCAACAAATGGTCCCCTAAATATGGCCTACAGTGTTAAAGACCTGTGCCTTTCCTATCTGCTAATATCAAGGTAGGTCAAATCAGAAAACCATGATAAAAATTAACAGGGAGCCAAAAGTCCACTAATAACCTAAGCCATGGATCATATTCAGAAATAATAAAACTAGGAACTGGTATTTAAACATATGAGCAAACAACAACATGTTATCCATGGCATGTGGCTTTCCATCTGTCACTTAAATGGAAAGTCAGCAGCCCTACACTGCTATAAAGCAATTTAAAAGGTTCAAAAATGTAATAACTGACATATTACCTGTTATGGTAAACATACAATCTAACAGAGAATAGAAAACGACAGCTCACTTAGATATATGTTGTAGTTAGACTCAGTTTAAAGGTAAAGGCACTCAAATTCCTAAGAGCAAGCCAAACATACAGACCTTGCCTTGTAATCACATATTTCACCATAGTCTGGGAAATTTCATGCTGATATTCAAAGTATGATTATCTCAAAGGTGCTTCTATAAGATTGTGCCAATGTTTTTACCACTCCCACAGTAAGAGCCCACTGAAGAATAAACATTCCTTCTTTATAGGTCAAAAGGTTTAAAAAAAAAAAAAAAACCCGGCCAGGCACAGTGGCTCACACCTGTAATGCCAGCACTTTGGAAGGCTGAGGTGGGGGGATCACTTGAGCCCAGGAGTTTGAAACCAGCCTGGGCAACATGGCGAAACCCTATCTCTACAAAAATTACAAAAAAACTAGCCAGCCATGGTAGCATGCACCTGTAGTCCCAGCTACTCAGGAGGCTGAGATGAGAGGATCACCTAAGCCTGGGAGGTCAAGGATGCAGTGAGCCATGATCACACCACTGCACTATGGCCTGGGTGACAGAATAAGACCCTGTCTCCTCCCCCGCAAAAAATCCCTCAAATACTAAGCCAAAACAAAACCAGCCATTCTGTTTCATACAATAGTAACCTCAGTTACTAAAAAGGAGCATCTTGCCATAGTAACTATGAGTACCTGTAAGAAACACCAAGACAGGAGGAATATTCAGGCAGTAAGCAATTGAAGAAAACAACCTAACATAAGAAGAATCAGCAAAGAGGCTCACATTCAAAGCATAAAATGTCTATGGTAATCCAGGCAAGGGTTTCAGAGAACGAGAAAACTATAGACACTTAAAGATTTCAAAGAATGCTTATTGGTTGCTCTCTGTCTCCTTTAAGATCAAACTATAGGAAATGGCCAATGTCACTTTAAGGAATTTATACTTACAAATAATAAACTGCTCCCTGATTAACAAGAACTGAACACTGAACTAATTTTCTGCCAAGTCAATTTCATCTTTTCCACTGAGAATCTTTAACAAACAGATTCTTTTAACGTAAGGCAGAGTGGCTTAAACTAAGAATCTCAGAGAACCAGGTTTCAAACAAATTCTCTCTGGCCGGGTGTGGTGGCTTACGCCTGTAGTCCTAACACTTCAGGAAGTTGAGGTGGGTGGACTGCTGGAGCACAGGGGTTTGAGACAGCCTGGGCAACATAGCAAGACCCCATCTCTAAATTAATTAATTAATTCCCTCTAACCTTGAGGATTCACTATTACAACTATATTATGAATACTTACAGGGCATATTCAGGTATAGGTAACTTGCTCACATCAAATACTTCTTTATCCTTCATCAGATATACAGATCGTACATAGGAGACGAAACACTGTAAATTAAGAGGTTGAAAAGTACAATATAATAGAAATTAAAAATGAGTTTAGACCAAAATATAAGAAAATTAGCCAATGGGATAAATTCAATAGTACTGAAAAACCACGAAATAGTTCAGTATATCTCCATTCCATGCACACATGAAAACCTACCTTTTAGAACTGTAATATTAGAAAAAAACTTTGCATTTGGTTTCAAGCCAACCTAACCCAGAATATCTTCTTTCCAAAAGGCTACTCTAAAAGTCAGTATAATTCCATTACAATAAGGTACACCATGGGGAAAATATAGGCTTTGGAATAATATAGATTTGGAATCTATTCAAAGCTTAAACTCTTACTCACTGAGCAAATTTCTTGTTTCTCTACATGTCAGTATCCTCATCTATCAAAAAAGGGATACATTACCTTCTACTTAGAGTGTTATGAGAATAAAATTAGAAGAATGCATGTAGATACCTAGCATATTTTCTGGAATATAGTAACAACAAATGCTAGTTATTGATAATATTTTGTATTATTGTATCAAAAGATAAGGTTTTCAATTAAATAAAATTTTACATATTGAGATTTAATAAAACCATTTCAGGAAAAACTTTATTGCTAAAGCTTTTCTTTTTTATGATTTCAAGTAATTCATCATTAACTTGGAATATTTTGTTTCTGTTAAAAAAAAAAAAAAAAAAAACTATCTTCATACTAGAGTTACACAAACCAGAATATAAACAGGGTCCTGATCCTTTATCAGTTTGTCAAATACACAGATAACAAAACTCATCTAGGTAATTTTTTAAGTTGACTTTTGTAAAGTATATTTAGTTCCTGTTTGCATACTTCCTAAACTTCATGTTTTATCTAGCTTTACACTAATCCTTTCTACCCAACTAATCTCCAAACCATTTTCTGTCTCCATAGGCATAAAAAACAATGAATGGCACCAGTTTAAAAATAATTTTTTCCCCTACAATCATCCACAAGCAATCACCTCAGTTGCTTATCACTTTTGTTCTATCCAGATTATAATCAAAACCTAGAAAATCACTTCTATGAAACTAGATAGCTTGCTGCTGCTGGCAACACAGTTGGCCATTCTGCTAAACCATGCGTGACAACCAATAAATCACATCATTTATTTCAACACACTTTTCTATAATCAGTGTTCTGGAAGGCTCATCCGTTGTATGCACAAACCAGTGAAAAAACATCTTTCCAATGTTTCATATTTTCTGATAGATAACTGAATGACCTCTTAGGCATGCAGTAAGTCATGACATACCAAAATTAATCTAATATTTTTAAATGTGTGTACTACTTCCAAAGCTCCTAGGTTTCAACTGCAAGTTTGAAGGATGTTTGCTAGAAAAAAAATGTACATGTTTGCATGCCTATTCATTTTTAAGAAAAATGAATATTAACCATTTGTTCAAAGATCCTTTAATGAAAAGGTTCTCAGGTAAAGTGAGCTTATAGAAGTCCAACTTGGTATAGCTTACCATTTGATGCTCTCATATTTTGGAATTAATTTCTCCTGATATAACACAGTAGATCTCAAGAAAGCTAGACCTGGAGTTCAGTCTCAGGTCTTCCACTTAATAACTATGTTACTCTAGACAATTTTTTTTTTTTTTTGAGACAGAGCCTCGCTCTGTAGGCCAGCTGCAGTGCAATGGCACAATCTTGGCTCACTATAACCTCTGCTTCCAGGGTTCAAGGAATTCTCATGCCTCAGCCACCCAAGTAGCTGGCATTACAGGCATGCACCACCACACCCAGCTAATTTTTTTGTCATTGTTTTTAGTAGAGACAGGGTTTCACCCTGTTGGCCTGGTTGGTCTCAAACTCCCAGCCTCAAGTGATCCACCCACCTCAGCCTCCCAAAGTGCTGGGATTATAGGCATGAGCCACCCCAACCAGCCATCCAAGACATTTTTTAATTTTCAAGCTAGCATTTACCCATTTGTACAGTCAAATCAATACCACCTACCTCACTGGTTGTCTGGAAGATTAGGTAACAACGCATGTAAAACAGTTTTGTCATAACTAAGTACCTGGCACACAGTAAGCACTTAAATTTTAGCCTCATCATTAATGTTATTCTAAGCACACCAATGATAATTTGCTAAAATATAAAATAAGTTAGCAAAAAATTTAAGATCTCTTCTTTATATAAAACTTACTTCTGGCTGGGCGTGGTGGTTCACGCTTGTAATACCAGCACTTTGGGAGGCCAAGGCAAGCGGATCACTTGAGGCCAGGAGTTTTGAGACCAGCCTGGCCAACATGGTGAAACCCTATCTCTACTAAAAATACAAAAAATTGGCCGGGTGTGGTGGCGCATGCCTGTAATCCCAGCTACTCGGGAGGCTGAAGCAGGAGAATCACCTGAACCCGGGAGGCGGAGGTTGCGATGAGCCAAGATCACGCCATTGCACTCCAGCCTGGATAATAAAAGCGAAACTGCGTATCAAAAACAAACAAACAAAAAAACTTACTTCTTTGCCAGGAATAACAGTTTCAAAACCATTACATAAAACCCTAACTATTGAATGTTTTTCTGCTCAGGCTACCCTATCGACTTAGGGTGACCTTTCTATAACTCTTCTTTATATTCTTCCTCCCACCTCATCTATC
The DNA here is from genome assembly GCF_000001405.40 of Homo sapiens. Taxonomy (NCBI): domain Eukaryota; kingdom Metazoa; phylum Chordata; class Mammalia; order Primates; family Hominidae; genus Homo; species Homo sapiens. Next base: position 108,717,161 of record NC_000011.10, on the reverse strand, counting down.
TGCTGAAATAGAATCCAACCTCTGAATCCCTACTCTCTGGCTCATTGCTGATATGCTATGGGAGATGCAAAGATCTTGTAAATGCAATAAATGGCAATAAAGGACAGGTGAAAATGATAAGAACTCAAATATCTGTTAATTCAAAGATTAGAAAGATTGGAAAGCATAATGAAAAATAATTTCACATCTTTTACCGAAGAATCTACTGTGGAATATTCTAAAAACTTTAAAAAAAAAAAAGTTTAACTAAAATAGATTTCTCACCACAAGTATGTGAGGTAATACCTATGCTAGTTAGCTTCATTTAGCAATTACACAATGTATATTTGTTTCAAAACATGTTACATACCAGAAATATAATTTATCAATTAAGAAAAATAAAACTAAATATTGACTTCTTTATGTATTTGCTAATCAAGATCTTTAAGTCCAGAAAAGTAATTGGGGAACAACAAGTCATAAACGTAAGTTAAAATCTCATTCCTAAAGATAATTTGGCTGCAGTTCTATGCTTTCTAGAAATTTAATCTAATGTAGGAAGATATTAATCTCACAGTCAAGAAAGTACAATCAGGAGTTATAGCAATTTTACAAAAGAAATAAAAACTTAATAATGTTATCAAGTATTAGAAATCAGGCCACTGTGCATCCAAAAAATCACATTTGAGAGGATTTTCCATATGTCTTTGAAAAAACTTACGATGATTTTTCCCAATCCATATATATAAAAAATATTTTTCAAAATTTTAAAGAATAAGCTAGACTGGCCAGGCGTAGTGGCTCACGCCTGTAATCCCAGAACTTTTGGAGGCCAAGGCAGTTCACCTGAGCTCAGGAGTTCAAGACCACTCTGGGCAACATGGAGAAAACCCTGTCTCTACTACAATACAAAAAAATTAGCCAGGTGTGGTAGTGGCGCACACCTGTAGTCCCAGCTACCCGGGAGGCTGAGGCACAAGAATCACTTGAGCCTGGGAGACAGAGGTTGTAGTGAGCTGAGATCATGCCACTGCACTCCAGCTAGGGCTACAGAGTGAGACTCCATCTCAAAAAAAAAAATAAGCTAGACTTATCTGTCAGCAAATTACACTGCTTGAATATCTGAAGCATAAACATGCAACCTAGAAGTAGCAGAAAATGATAAACTTTACTGTTTTTCCAGTCAATGAAAGTATCCAACTGAAAAATGACTTACCCTTTGAGCTCTTTCTTTTAAATCTTGATCTTGAGCTAAAATAGATTCCAATTTTTTCTGGACATCTATAAGTTTTTCTGGATTGATTCTTTGTAACAAAAAGATAAAGGTTAAAATAAGATATCTCAAATTTGGAGACTAAAAATAGTAAGCAGCATTTTCCTATTTTCCTCAGTATTTTTAAATGTATAACTATTTCTCATCTATGAATCAGATTAGACGGAAATTAAACTAGACATAAGTTTGACACTCTTACCTACTATGAATAACACAGGAGAAAGAAATGACATGTCAGACACTTTCTCCAAACATCCCATGCTGAGTGAAATACTTGGATTAACACCACAGTTAGCATTGGCTACTTAACTCAACAGATAGAAAGTAGTCTCCCATGAGAGATCCATTCTATATGAAATGGAATAAATTAAATCTAATTTTTTTAAGAGGTCTCACCCCGCTCCCTCAGTGAGGCTGGAGTGTAGTGGTGCAATCATAGCTCACTGTAACCTTGAACCCCTGGACTCAAGTGACCCTCCCCCATCTCAGCTTCTCAAGTAGCTAGGACTACAGGCTTGCACCAACATGCACGGCTAGTCTGTTGTTTGCTTTTTCTTTTGCAGAGACATGGTCTCACTGTTTTGCCCAGGCTGGTCTGGAACTCCTGGCCTCAAGCAATCCTTCTGCCTTGGATTCCCAAAGTGCTGAGTTACAGGTGTGAGCCACCATGCCTAGCCCTAATGTCATTTTTATAAATGTTTCTGTTTCAGTCAAATATCATAAAATCAATTTCAAGTAATAAACAAGTAGCCAAAGATTGTAGTGATTTCCTTATTTAGAAATTAGGCATACTATAACAGAGATGATATCTAACTCTGCCCAGATAAGCTACAGGGAAAGAAAAAAAAAATTTTAAAGAGGTCTAGGCTTCACAAAAGAGACCTCATTGTTTCTCTGATTTTAGGCTGAACCACGTTGTTTCTGCAAAGCCAGAATGGTGATAGGTGGTGGTAGGTGAGATTGTTTTTACTTATTTTTATTATAAAAAATTTCAAAATATACAAAAGAAAAGTTAGAGACTTTCACTCAGCCTCAACAATTACCAAGTCACAGCCAGTTTTGTCTCTTCTACATCCTCAACTCTCCTCCCCAAATCTAACCACTCTCCAAATTATTTTTAGGCAAATCAAGCCAGGGTGTTTCAACAGCGCCAATACAAGTAAGATTCTGATGGATCCCACTGATGCTGAATGTACACATCCTTAGTGACAGGAGATCACAACTCTCTGAAATGGATAGACAACCCCAAAAGTAATTCCATCCAAGAGATTTCATTCTTTCAATCATCAGTGCTTCCTGAAGTTAACAAGTTCTCCATCTCATGTTCTCCACTAATAGTCTTCAGAAAAGGCCGTTTAAGACTTTAAAAAAAAAAAAAAAAGAGTCAGACTTCTGATATCCAGTTCCCTATGGATGGAGCTTGTAAGTCATCACTCCATCATAACAATAAGTAAAAAGCTGAACAGATTGGAAAAAAAAATTTAAAACTCTTCTTTTATCCATGATAAAGATGGACAACACAGGACAAACCACAGTCCCAACACAGGAAAGAGAGAGGTGAGTACAGGGATCACAGCTTACTTGAGCTGAGTCATGAGCAGAAACAACTGGGGGAGGCAGTGCCTGGGTGAGAGACCCTCAACTGTAATTGATAAAACCTGCTGGAGCCTCAATGTGGACAAGTCTGAGAAATAAAAACTCCAGGAGGACCCATTCATAAGGCAGCCCCACACTCATGAGTTTTACTCCAGGAGCTCAACCAAGTTCTCACAGTAAATATCAGAAAAATTCCCTCATGCTTTCAGCAAAACAAGGGGAAAATGAACCATTTTGAAATATGCCTGAGCACTCTGTTCTTAACTAGTTTCTCCTGAGGGTGGGCCTTGTTAATGAAAGTCAAGCCTCTTAGGGTTTTATCTGAGCCTAACTGACCTGAGGGGAGGGAAATGCCCAACTCTAGCCATCCTTTCCCACTTAAGTTGGGGTGATGGGAAGGCAGAGACTGAAAAGAATTTGTAAAGTTCACAGTCCGGAGGCATAGGCTCACAAAAAGACTGAGACCTACTATAGGTCTTAAGAATGCTTTCCTCACAGCCCCCACCCTCTCACACCTTACCACCACAGCACTAACATCACTAAAGGCCTATTTACAGCAATTCTTTTTATAATACCTGGTACATCGTATCTATCATGAAAAACATTACAAGACATACTAAAAGCAAAAAACATAATTTGAAGAGACAGAGCAAGCATCATAACCAGACATGGCAGGGATGTTGGAAGCATTAGGCCAGAAATGTAATTTAAACTAACAGTGACTCATATGCTAGGGATTCTAATAGATAAAACAGGCAGCATGCACAGATGAGCAACATAATAAGATGGAAATCCTAAGAAAGAACCGAAAAGAAATGCGAGAGAACAAAAAGAACTGTAACACATATTACTAATACCTTTGATGGGTTCATTACTAGATTGGACACAGCTGAGGGAAGAATCTCTGAACTTGATAAAAACTTCCAAACCTGACTGAAAACAACACAACAGAACTTCAAGGACTATGGAACAACTACAAAAAGTGAACATACACATGATGTTCTTTCTGAATATCAGAAAGAGAACAGAAACAGAAGCAATGCTTCAAACAGTAATGACTCAGAATTTCCCCCAAACTCATGTCAGACACCAAACCACAGATCCAAGAGCTCAGAAAGCTCCAAGCAGGACAAATGCCCAAGCGAGAGGGAGAGACAGAAAAAGACAGACTGAGACTATACCTAGGCATATCACTGTCAAACTACAGAAAATTAAATATTTTTTTAATCCTGAAAGAAGTGGACGGGGGGCACCTCATCTATAGAGGAACAAAGACAGGAATTACACCTGATTTCTCAGACACCATGCAAGCAAGGAGAGAGTGAAATGAAATATTTAAAGTGTGGAGAGAGAAAAACCACCAGCCTGGAACTCTGTATCCCACAAAATTATCCTTCAAAAGTGAAAGAGAAACACTTTTTCAGACAAACAAAAATTGACAAAACTTATTGCCAGTAGAATTGCCTTGCAAAATATGTTTAAAAGTTCTTTAGAGAGAAAAAAAAAAACGTAAGTGAGAAACTCAGATCTTCATAACAAAGGAAGAGCACATCAAAGGAATAAATGATGGTAAAATAAAATTTTTCTTATTCTTAATCTAAGTTTTTTCAAATTAATAGCCCCAGCGTGTTTAATTATGTATGTTTATGTATATATCTTATGTATATACGCTTATGTATGCTTTACATAAGTGAAATGAATGACATCAATGATATAAGGGACACGAGGGAGAAATCAGAATTACGTTATAAGGTACTCACACTACCTGTGAAGTGCTGTAGCATTATGTCATTATTTCAAAATGGGCTTTGGATTACTTGCAAAAACATTAGAGCAATCACTAAAAAAAGTGAAAAAGAAAAAAAAAACTGGTATGCTAAGGAGAGAAAACAGTCATAAAATGCTCAGAATCACAAGAGGCTGAAAGAGAGGAGACAAAAGTAAGAATAACAGGGGCAACTAACAAAAAACAGTAACGAATACATTAGATATTCATCCAACTATATCAAAAATCACTTTCAACATCAATAGCCTAAATGCATCAATTAAAAGAGATGTTGTCAGAGTGGATCAAAAAACAAGACCCAACTGTATGTTGTCTACAATAAACCAACTTTCAATATAAAGACACATAAATTAATGAAAGTGGTTTGATAAAAAATATATCATGCTAACACTAATCAAAAGAAAGCAAAAATAGCTATACTAATGTCAGACAGAGCAGACTTCCAAGCAATAAACTTATCAGGGATAAATGGCATGACATAATGATAAAGAAGTCAATTCTCCAAAAAGGCAACAATCCTTAACGTATAGGCTCCTAACAATACAGCATCAAACTATGTGAGGCAAATACTGATAGAATTGCAACCAGAAAGATGAATCCACTGTTATAATTAGAGACTTCAACACCCTACTATCAGGAATAGACAAATCCAGCAGGCAGAAAGTCAGTAAGAACATAGTTGAACTCAACAATACCATCAATCAACTGGACACAACAGCCATCTAGAGACTACTTTATCCAACAACATAATACACATCTTCTCAAGCTCACATGGAACATTCACCAAAATAAAACACATTCTGGGCCATAAAACACATCTTAACAAAATTAAAATAATATAAATCATACAATATCTGCTTTCAGACCACAATGGAATTAAACTAGAAATAACAGAGGCCAGGCACAATGGCTCACACCTGTAATCTCAGTACTTTGGGAGGCCGAGGAGGGCAGATCACCTGGGGTCGGGAGTTCAAAACCAGCCTGGCCAACATGGCGAAACCCCACGTCTACTAAAAATACAAAAATTAGCCAGGCATGGCGGCACGTGTCTGTAATCCCAGCTACTCAGGAGGCTGAGGCAGGAGAATTGCTTGAACCCAGGAGGTGGAGGTTGTAGTGAGCCGAGATCGTGCCACTGCACTCCAGCCTGGGCGACAGATCAAAACTCTGTCATAACATAACATAGAAATAGCAGAAAGGTAACTGGAAAATTCTAAAATACATGGAGATTAAACACACCTCTGAATAACACAAGTCAAAACAAAATCAAAATACTTTAAAATTTCTCTTGAATTAAATAAAAATGAAAATAACTTAGCAAACTTTGTGGAATGCAACAAAAGCAGTACTTAGAGGGAAATTTATAGCACTGAATGCATATACAGTCATGGGCCACATAATGATGTGTCAGTCAGTGATGGACTGCATATACAACAGTGGTCTCATAAGACTGTAATGACAGCCAGGAGCAATGGCTCACACCTGTAATTCTAGCACTTTGGGAGGCCAAGGCAGGAGGACTGCTTGAGCTCAGGAGTTCAAGATCTGCCTCAGCAACATAGTGAGACCTTGTCTCTACTAACAATAAAACAAATTAACCAGGCATGGTGGCGCAGGCTACTCGGGAGGATCACTTAGGCCTAGGAGACTGAGGCTGCAGTGTGCTAGTGAAGCTGAAAAATTTCTATCACCTAGTGATGTCGCAGCCATCATAACACTATAGGGCAATACATTACTCATGTGTTTATGGTGATGCTGGTGTAGGCAAACACACTGCACTGACAGGCACTTACAGTTAGGTATGGTACATAATACTTGAAAATGATAAACAACTATTACTGATTTATTCACCATACTTTTTATTTTACAGTATTTTCCTTCTACTTATAAAAACACCCTCAGGCAGGTCCCTCAGGAAGTACTAAAGAAGGAGGCATTGTTATCATAAATGATGACAGCTCCATGCATGTTACTGCCCCTGAAGGCCTTCTAGTGGGACGATGTGAAAATGAAAGACAGTGATATTAATGATCCTGACCCTGTGTAGGCCTAGGCTCCATTTAAAAAAAAAAAAGTTTTAAGGGAAAACAAATATTTTTAACCAAAAAAAGCTTGTAGAGTAAAGATATAAAGAAAATATTTTTGTGTAGCTGTATAATGTGGGTTTTAAGCTAAGTGTAATTACAAAAGAATCAAGAAGCTGAAAGTTTATAAAACAAAAAAAGTTACAGCAAGCTAAGGTTACTGAAGAAAAAAAGTTTAGTGTAGCCTACGTGTACAGTGTTTACCAAGTCTACACTTGTATACAGTAATGTGCTAACTCTTCACATTCATGCACCACTCACTGACACCCAGAGCAACTTCCAGTCCTGCAAGCACTGTGGTAAGTGCCCTATGCAGGTATGCTTTTTATCTTTTATACTGTATTTTTACTGTGCCTTTTCTATGTTTAGACATGCTTAGATACACAAATACCTACCATTGTGTTCAATTGCCCACAGTATTCAGTGTACAGCATGTACAGTATTCATGCTATAAAGGTTTGCAGCCTAAATGCAATAGGCTATACCATATAGCCTAAAATTAATGATCCATTGCTCACACTTATTCCCATCATTAAGCAACATATGACTGTATTAGAAAGAAAGTACCTAAAAATCAATCATCTACAGTTCCAACTTGGGAAACAGAAAAGGGGTAAATTAAATCAAAAGCAAGCAGAATAAATAAGAACTAGAGTAGAAATGACTGAAATTGAAAACAGGAAATCAATAGGGGGGAAAAAATTAAACCAAGAGCTGGTTCTTTGAAAAAAATAAACAACTAAAAAAAGTCATAAGCCTATAACCATACTAAGAAAACAAAAGGATACAAGTTATTATTAGAAATGAAAGAAGGAATATCATTACAAATCCCATGGACATAAAAAGGATAAAAAGATTATGAACACCTCTATGCCCACATATTTGATAACCTAGATGAAATGGACCAATTCCTTGAATGACAAAATCTGCCAAACTCTTACAAGAAATAAACACTCTCAATAGGCTACTATCTATTAAAAAAATTGAATCAATAATTCATAACCTTCCAAAACAGAAATCACCAAGCCCGGATGGGCTCGCCCATAAATTCTACCAAACATTTAAGAAAGAAATGCCAATTTCCTATAATCTCTTTCAGAAGACAGAGTCAGAGGGAATACTTCCTAACTCATTCTATGAGGCCACTACAGGGGAGAAAAAACTACAGACCAATATCACTCATAATGATAGATGCAAGTCCTCAACAAATACAAAAAACCTACTGCTAATATCATACTTCATGGTGAGAAACTGGAAGCTCTCCCGCTAAGATCAGGAAAAAAGCAATGATGTCCCCTCTCACCACTGCTGTCCAACATCATTCTAGAAGTCCTAATTAATGCAATAAGACAAGAAAAGGAAATAAAAGGCATACCGATTGGGAAAGAAATAAAACTGGCTTTGTTCACAGATCCATGATCATCTATATAGGAAATCGAAAAGAATGGACAAAGAAACTTCTAGACTAATAAGCAATCATAGCAAGACTACAAGATTGAAGATTAATATACAAAAGCTAATCACTTTCCTGTTTTTATCACAAATGAAAAAGGGAACATCACCACAAAACCCACAGACATCAAAAGGATAAAAAGACTACTATGAACAAATTTGGGAGGCCAAGGCAGGCAGATTGTTTGAGGCCAGGAGTTCGAGACCAGCCTGGCCAACATGGCAAGACCCCATCTCTACTAAAAATACAAAATTTAGCCAGGCATGGTGGCACATGCCTGTAATTCTAGCTTCTTGGGAGGCTGAGGCATGAGAATTGCCTGAACCCAGGAGGTAGAGGTTCCAGTGAGCCAAGATTGCAAGACTGCACTCTAGCCTGAACGACAGAGCAAGACTCTGTCTCAAAAAAAAAAAAAATACTATGAACACCAATTTACCAGCAATAAATAAATGGAATTTGAAACTAAAAACAATACCATTTACATTATTAGCACTCCCAAAAATGAAACATTTAGGTATAAATCTAACAAAATATTAGCACATTGAATCCAACAAGATATAAAAATCATTATACATCATAACCAAGTGAGAATTATCCCAGGAATGCAAGGCTGGTTTAACATTCCAAAAAAAAAAAAAAAAGACCTTAATGTACTCCATCACATCACCAGGCTAAAAAAGAAAAAAAAAAAATCACATGATCTCATCAGATTTTAAAAAAAAAATTTTTTTTAACAAAATCCAATATCCACTCATGATCTTTTTTTTTTTTTTTTTTAACTCAGTAAACTAGGAATAGAGGACAATTTCCTCACCTTGATAAAGAATATCTACAAATGCTGGCAAGAATGTGGAGCAACAGGAACTCTCATTAATTGCTGGCAGGAATTCAAAATGGTGTAGCCACTTTGGAAGACAGTTTGGCAGCTTCTTACAAAATGAAACATATTCTTACCTTCTGACCCAGCAATCAAGCTCCTTGGTAATATTTATCCAAAGGAGTTGAAAACTTAGGTCTACACAAAAACCTTCACATGGATGTTTATAGCAGGTTTACTAATAACTGCCAAAGCTTGGAAGCAATTAAGATGTCCTTCAGACCTTTGAAAGCTGAACGTTAATCCAACATCCACTAGTTATAAGACTTAAGTAGGATTAAGGGAACTGCTGAGAAGAATCTAATTGTAGCTTTTTGGTTTTAATATTACTGATGTGGTTTAACATATTTTTATTAAGGGAATGAAAAGATCTTTTCTCTTCTTGATCTATCTTTAACCCTCTATTTAGTAACCTATAAATGACATTCTTTATATAGCACCTTATTCTCCCTGACCCCTCAGAATTCAGACAACTTACTAGCCTTTATGGCAATGTGGTTATTTGCATAAAATCAATACAAATCTGTCCTTTTTATAACCAGGCTATAGCTGGTTATATAAACAAGGTCAAAACAAAACTAACAAAAAAATCTCCTTCAGTAGGTGAATAAAAACTGTTGCGTCCAGACAATGAAATGTTATTCAGTACTAAAAGGAAATGTACTATGAAGCCATGAAAAGACATGGAGGAAACTTAAATGCATACTACTAAGTGAAAGAAGCCAATATGAAAAGGCTAGGTACCGTATAATTCCAACTATAATATATGACATTCTGGAAATAAAACTATAGAGACAGTAAAAAGATCAGTAGTTGTCAGAGGTTCAGGGGGAGGGGAGGGGAATAAATAGGCAGAGCACAGGATTTTTAGAGCAGTGAAAACTGCCATATGATATTAAAATGGTAGGTATGCATCATTACACATTTGTGCAAGCACACAGAATGGACACCACCAAGAATGAACCCTAGTGTAAACTATGGACCTTGGTGAATAACATCAACATAGGTTCATCAATTGTAGCAGATGTATTCTGGTGGGGGACGTTGATAATGGCAGAGGCTGTGCATGTTTGGGGAATGGGGTATATGAGAAATCTATCTTCCTCTCAATTTTCCTGTGAACCTAAAACTGTTCTAAAAAGAGCCTTTTTATAAAAGTCAAACCAGGCAGTTGAATAAATTAGGGGAAGGGGCAAATTAGGTGCACATAATTAAGCAAACAATTTCATGCCCTCATTTTCCTAAAAACATAAAGACAACAAGTAGCTCTTACTTGATTTCCTTCACAGGTACTTTCTTCTGAAGAAGCTGCTGCACCATAGCTTTTTCTGAGGGTAGCAAAATTAGCAAAGCTTCACCATCCTCTTTGTACCTAAACAAAAAGAAACAAAATCTTTAACACATCAATGCAATCTGCATTTTACATTTTAACAGAGTGATGCATAGGTAAACATGGAAACCATTTTTGTCTAACCATAAATGTCAGAGACTGGCTTTTAATCTCTGATAACAGAAAACTAGGGCTCTGAACACCTCATATCATTTTCATCACTAGTTATCATTCCCAGTGACTTTTAGGCTGTTCCACAGATGATGATCTAAATTCTAAGAAAGAAATCAATTAAAGAGATTTTCTTAAATAGCTCTCTACCCATATAACAAGGAGACAATTTCTCACTCAAGCCACTAGAGGATCATAATAAAGTTAATCTTTGAATAAATACAGCACCCAATATATACTTTTTTTAAAAAAAAATCAATTCCTCTTCCTGGGGATTTTATTTACACCTTGGAAGTAAAATTGTTCTGAAGCATTAGTTATAAGAAATAGATCTGTTCGGCCGGGTGCGGTGGCTCATGCATGTAATTCCAGCACTTTGGGAGGCCGAGGCGGGTGAATAACCCGAGGTCAGGAGTTTGAGATCAGTGTGGCCAACGTGGTGAAACCCTGTCTCTACTAAAAATGCAAAAATTAGCTGGGCATGGTGGCAGGTGCCTGTAATCTCAGCTACTAGGGAGGCTGAGGTAGGAGAATTGCTTCAACCCAGGAGATGGAGGTTGCAGTGAGCTGAGATCATGCCACTGCACTCCAGCCTGGGCAACAGAGCAAGATTCCGTCTCAAAAAAAAAAGAAAGAAATAGAACTGTTCAAGTAAAATGCTTGCCTCCAATCCATGTTACTTCTCTTCCCTCACCTAGTAAAATCTTATTTCCTGCTGCATCTTCAGAAATTTGTACTGACATGGGCCACAAGACATCCTGTAGTTACTAAGCTTCTTGTGCTACTTGCATACAGATTTTCCCAATACCTTAATGTCAGCCATTACATACAAGCAGTAAAACAGAGAACACAACGGATACTTGGAGAAATTTTTTAAATAAAAAGAAGAAAAAATCTCAAAGCACTCTCACCAGGATTCATACTATAAAATGTGAGAAGCAAATAAACTTTTTACTGAGAAACTTTGTGGTGGGTGGGCATGAACTGTAAAGAACATAAAGAAACAGAAGATGAAAATCCCTGTCTCCAGTGATCTAATGTTCCTGTTAACTAGAAAAAACAAACACACAAGTAAAACAGTCAAGAGAACAGTCACAAAACAGTAAATAAGTAGGTGCTAAAGGACAACCATGGGCAATAAACACCAACTCAGAAAGGAAAAGAGGCCACTCAGGGTTAGCCAGAGAAAAACAAAAACATGTCATAGAATATGAAATGAAATTTCAGGTGGGCCTTGAAGATGGAAAAGAAATACAAGTTTAAAGCTGTCCCCCTAGGCAGTATTGGACTAAACCATCCATGCAGCCGGAAGTCATTAGCATCTAAAGTAGTGAAGAGAATAAGGTACTACAAAGGAGGAGAATGGCATGAACAAGGGAGTGGAAGCCAGAAAATACAAGGAAAATGTATTAAAGAGTGAATAAGAAAAAGAGAAATTCCACTGAAGCCAGCGTACACAAACAGCAGGAAAGATTGCTAGAAAGGTACATTAGAGCCTGCTTTTAGAGGCCCCAGAATGTCTCTGCATACAGAGATTGAATACCACCAATATGTAAGTAGAATTTTATCATCAAATGCTGGAAGGAAAAACTGGCTTTGACATACTGAGAGGTGGCACTGCCTGGAGAAACCAACATCTAAACTAAGACCTAAAGAATAATTAGGAATTTGTCCGACATTAGGGGAAGGGATATAGATGGGGTAGTCGAGTTTTCCATGGGATAAGGCACCATTTGAGAGTCCAGTGGATACTTTCATCTTCTTCACACCTACTTGCTTTTTCTAGTCAACAGACAGGGGACAGAGGGAGGCTGAACATACAATTTACTACTTTCACCAATTATCTGTTTTAGAACTGAAAGACTAATACCAAATACCTTCCTCATAGTATTTTAACACAAAATAATATGACTCAAAGATCTTCATCTTCGTTCACTAACAAAATTATGAATTTAAAGCAGACCCCTAAGCAGTATGGGACCAAACCATGTATGAAGGCAGCATTCACTAGCACATGAAGCAGTGAGGTGACACACTGAGCAGACAAGATAATGGAGAGATGTCGTAACTTCTGAAGCTCTCACACTCCACCAAGGAAAGATTGCAGGTCCAAAGAGGACAGGAATCAGTTAATGCTGACTCCTAAGCAGTACACTTCCAAAACGCCCTTGAGGCAGCCAGACTCTTGAGGTTAAGCGAATTACCTTCAGAAGTAGAAAGGCTTATTCTGTTTGGAACCATAAGGACAGAGAACAGTGAGCTGAGGGCTAGGCAACAGTCAATCCTTTTAATACTCTATATTCAAGTTCATAGATGGCAAGATGAAATAAATAGGCCCACAAATCTACATAGGGCAAGAACTTTGGCAAAGAGTAAGAGAACCTAGGAGACCAAAAAGGCATTCACTCAATGTTCTCTCATGTTCCAACTGACTCCTAGAAAGGAATAATAAGGCTAGTCACACCTCTGTCCATCTCATCTACTCATTCCCAGGGAGCACCTGGGAGGATGAGTCAGGACTAAAGTCACAAAGGGCCCATGATCAAACCTTTTAAAGCCACAGCTAACAGAATATATATAGAAGGCTACACAAGGTTAAGACAAATAGTAACAGTGGAATTTTAGAAGAAAAAGACTCCCAATGGAAAATGGAAAATGCCCAAAGTCAAATCCATAAGGCAAGCACCCATTAAAAAGATTACTGGCCATTTTACCTATTTTACATTACACACATCTTTTCCCTAAAACATAAACCACAAGTTATCTCCCACACGCTAATACCAAAAGTTCCCCAGTAAGCTTTTATTCTAGAATAAAAGCACTTTTTAAAAGAAGGCATAAGAACATTTCACTTTTTTAAAAAATGCTTGCAAGAACAAAGTCTATTTACCCATGAGCAAGCTTTTAGATTTCAAAAGCAATATTCAAGGCCCAAGGCTAAACATATAAGAAATAAGTGTTCTTCAAAAGATCTACACTTTAGGCCAAGCGCGGTGGCTCAGGCCTGTAATCCCAGCACTTTGGGAGGCCGAGGCAGGTGGATCATGAGGTCAAGAGATCGAGACCATCCTGGCCAACATGGTGAAACCCTGTCTCTACTAAAAATACAAAACTTAGCTGGGAGTGGTGGCACACGGCTGTAGTCCCAGCTACTCGAGAGGCCAAGGCAGGAGAATTGTTTGCACCTGGGAGGCAGAGGTTGCAGTGAGCAGAGATCGCGCCACTGCACTCCAGCCTGGAGACAGAGTGAGACTCCACCTCAAAAAAAAAGATCTACACTTTAAAATTCTATATTTAGACAGATTTGTTTTCAAAACATATTTATTTCAAATCGATAAATTATATTTATCATGTACAACATGATATCTTAGAGTATACACATTGTGTCTTAGTATACACACATTGTGGAATAGTTAAGTCTAGCTAATTAAAATATGCATTACCTCACAGAGTTATCATTTTTGTGGTGAGAACATTTAACATCCACTCTCAGCATTTTTCAAGAATACAATACAGTATTATTAACTAGTCACCATGATGAACTATTTTAACAGAGTCTAGCCGCCCGATAACAAGCATCTGAAACAAAATTTCATTTTTGCCATCAATATCAATACTATATTTAATTTATGCAGCTCTTCCAAATTTATGAAAAACATTTTTTGTATTAATATATAAACTTGCAGATCTTAAAAGCAAGCAACCAGTAGGAAGTAGCAATACAAAATAGTATTTCTGAGAGCCCAAGAGGTTGGCCTAAAATCAGCTGGTTACTAATATCAGAGACTTTAAACCTCTAAATCCACCACTTTTTCAGTTATACCAGAATTCCCTCCAGAAACAAGAATACTCAACAGATTGGTCATGATTGTCTAGCTGATATCAGAAAGCTTATCTCCACATCCTGCAGCTCACTAGTATTTCTAGTTAAAATAGGAATCCAGTCCATTGGCTTGGGTGTACCAGTTAATTCTTCCACTGAAATAACCTTCAAACAAACTAGAGCCAGAGGCAGGAAAAAAGCCCTGCCATTCTAGCAATAATTTGCCTTCTACCACTCAAATTCAGATTCTCCAACCCATCAACTCCATTCTAGTTGGGTCTTTAATTGTCCCTTAAACTTTGCTCATTCATCCTTCCCACTATTGTCCTACCATGGTCTGTGATACGCTATTCACAACTGCCTAGCCACCCTCAGTTCTCTTAGCCTGGTTCTCCATGTTACAAGTTAGGTTACAAAAAGTTTATTTAGAACAATCCCATTTTTGTAACTAGAAAAAATATATGCAGACATACACGAAAAAAACATTTCTAAGTGGTGGATTTTAGGTGATTTTAATTGTTTTGTCATTATTGTCTAGAATCTGTACAGTTAGTAAGCATTATTTTTGTACTACAAGTTATTAAAAATAAGTTTTTTAAAAAAACTATGTTTTTAAGACCTATATCTTTTGTTTCACTCTTACCTTATTTAACATACATCCTAATACTACCAATATCAGTATATGTCCTTATCTTATTAAATTTGAGGGCATGTGTCATGTGTCATGTGTCCCTAAAACATGCACAACAAATATTTGGTGAGTGAACACTAGAAGCTGTTTCAGCAGATAAAACTCCAAACTTGGCCAGGCGCAGTGGTTCACGCCTGTAACCCCAGCACTTTGGGATCCAGGCGGGTGGATCACCTGAGGTCAGGAGTTTGAGACCAGTCTGGCCAACATGGCAAAACCCCGTCTCTGCTAAAAGTACAAAAATTAGCCAGGTATGGTGGCGCACCCTGTAGTTCCAACTACTCAGGAGGCTGAGACAAGAGAATCACTTGAACCCGGGAGGCAGAGGTTGCAGTGAGCCAAGATCGCGCCACTGCACTCCACTCTGGGCGACAGAGTCACAGACACTCAGTCACAAAAAAAAAAAAAAAAAAAAAAAAAGAGAAGAAGAAGAAAGAAAAAACACCAGATTTAGAGTCAAAAGAACTGGGTTCTAGTCCTGTTGTACTATTAGCTATTAGCTGTATAACTTTAGATAAAATAAATCACTATTTACTACATTTTCTTATTTCTACATTATACAATTGACTGATTTATGTCCCTTTAGGATCTAAAACTCTACAACTCTGACTACTGATATGCTAGTCACTGCTCACAATACAATAATCAAGAAGTGGAGAAAGGGAGACATTTGTTGGTTACGCTCTACTATCGCACAGTCCTCTCTTTTTCCCGCCCTGTATCTCCTTCTATTCTCCCTATACCTCAGCCTTACCTATGACAACCATCCCCAAGATTTCATGTCACTGGGGGAGAACAGTGCAGTCTGTTATGCAGGTGCAGAAAGACAGCCATAAGGGATCTGAGTCCAACTGTTCTGTTCCTCCTGCACAACATGGTACAAAGGAGAGCTTATTCCAAGAAAAAGGGTATCTCTGACTTATGGAATGTCTGACGATTCTATACTAGATTTAAAAAAGGAAAAAAGAACAGGTTTGGAAATATTCTGGGGAAAAGAAAGTCATCTGCACCTTAAGATCTCAAATAACAAACAGGTATACCATGTCAGGCCCAACAGTGACAAATGAAGTTCACTGTAAGTAATTAGAGAGAAACCAAGCTGGCTAATACGTATTGCATGGAAAGCTTCTAGCACTGACTAAGAACAAGGATTTATGGGGTTCACAGAGAAAGGGTAGAAATCATTAAATTCTATCAACTTTGTCCCCTGAAAAGAATTAAAAAAAAAAAAGGTAAATTGTAACACATTAAGAATAAAAAGAAACCGCAAATCAAAGTGGTACTGCTACCTAAAATTATACTTCCAGGAAATAAGAGTTAGATACAATTAACCCCATTTTACCAGAGAAGAAACTGAGGCTTAGAGAAGTTAAAGACTTGTCCAAGGGTACACGGTCATTAGTGACAAAGTCCAATTCAAACCTAAGATTCCTGACTTTCTAAAAGCAGTGATGGAACAACTACAGGATGTCTATCTCTCCTAGTCCAAAGAAAGAAAATGCATATACTAGTTCGTCTTCATGACCACAAATGTCAACAAATTTGAAGACATCTACCTTTCTTCTCCCAGTAACTGGCTCTCATGCATTCTAGAAGCCCTGCATGGGAGCTGCAGGTCTGCGCTATTAGATGTAATCCATTAGATGTAAACAGCTGGATCAGGGCACACTGGCAAGAATGAGTTCTAGAGTCAGAAAGATCTAAGCATAAATCCCAGGCCTGGTACTTACTAAACTGAGAAATCATCGACATAATCTACCTCAAAGTCTCTGAGAAAGAGTTTCCTAATATGAGAACCTCTTTCATGAGTTGTTCTATGGGCTAAATGAGTTTATTCATACAAATATTTATTGAGTTTGGGAAGCAAAAGGCTAAACCACAGTCCATTCGTTCTTTGTGTGGTACAGGGGTGGGAGGTAGGGAAGAGGATGCCCTGCGCTCCCTCCACCCCAATAAAAGTGATATGGTCAAATCTCCTAGAAAACATATTAATGACAGATCTCCAGGGAAACAAACATGGTATTTGCTAGGTGAGAGTCCTCACCTATGAGAGGCTTTTAATAGGATGCACCATGGTTGTTCACAATTTATGGATTTGAAAGTATGTTTCTCTGGTGGGCTTTGTAACCGAGTATACAAATAGTCCATCTATGCAAGTGTCCATCTAAGCCACACACTATTTAGAGTCTCCTATGTTAACCTGGGCCAGAGCATGCCCTAATTTGGCAAGAAAATAACCAGGGAGCTATAGTGGAGATCCCACACCTCTTCTTGTTTCACTTCTACCTCAGGATTGTTTTTATCCTTGAAATCAGAGGTAAAATTTGACGTTGGGTGTGGTAGGCAGCTTATAAAACAACTCCCAATAATCTGCACCTCCTGGTATTGACACCCTTGTGTAGTCCCCCTACAAGGAACAGAACTGACATGCAACCCCAGGATGTTACAGGAAAGATGGACTGTGACTTCCAAGTCTAGGTCATGAAAGACATTACTGCTTCATCTTTCTCTCCCTCAGCTGTCATTTGCCCTCTCTGATGAGGTCAGTTACCATGTTGTGGCTATCCTGTGAAGAAGAC
Organism: Homo sapiens; assembly: GCF_000001405.40. Lineage (NCBI taxonomy): Eukaryota > Metazoa > Chordata > Mammalia > Primates > Hominidae > Homo > Homo sapiens. The sequence goes on along the minus strand of NC_000011.10, from coordinate 108,699,516 downwards.
CAGATGAAAAGGAACTGAGAGATGCCTCTGACCAACAGCAGAGGAGGAAATGAATCTGGAAACAACCATGTGAATAAATCTGAGAATGAATGCAACCCTAGCTGAACCTTAAAGTACCATCTGACACCTTCATTACAGCCTTGTGATAGACTGAGAGCCAGAGGACCCAGATGAACCACACTGGGTACCTGACCCACAGAAGCTACAAGATAAATGGTTGCTGCGATAATAAATGGTTATTGCTTTAAACCACCAAGCCATGGGTCAATTTGTTATACAACAATAAATAATTAACATATTAGGTAAGATCTGATTCATGAGTCTGAATCACTATCTCAAATGTAGTCTACTACATGTCAGGTCCTGTTCTAAGCACTTAGGGTACATCAATATACTAGACAAACATTGCTGCCTTTATGGAACTTACAATCAAGGTGAAAGCAATGTAAAAATATACTAAGTAAATACTCCAGTATATTTGAAGGTGATAAAGGACTTTGGAGAAAGGAATGTCAAGCAGGGTTAAAAGGAGTGGTTGGGGAGGGTGAGGAAGACAGCCATGTGGATACTTGAGGAAAATGCATTCCAGCAGAAAAGAGACAGCACCAGTATAAAGGCCCTACGGGCAAAAGCACGCCTGGCACATAAAAGAAACAGCAAGACCAGTACGGAGCATAGAGAACAAGGGGAGAATACTAGCAAACTGGGGGGAAACGGATGAATAGTTTAGGCCCAGGGGGTCATTGGCTTTCACTCTGAGTGAAATGGTATGCCATCAGAGGAGTGATATAATCCGACTTATGTTTTAGAAGGAACACTGTGCCTGCTGTATTGACTAGACAGGAGAATAAAGTGGGGGCACCCCTATTCCTAAGGGGTGCCTGGGAAACAGACTCCTAAGAAATACTCCCAAGGGTACCTGGGAAATAGACTCCTAAGAAATATCAGCCCTCCTTATCTACTCCTACAGCCATACTGGCTATACTCTCCCCCAGCTCCTCATTGCTTCAAGATGCAAAATAAATTTGCTGTGACCTTTTATGCAACCTTTAAATCATAGATACCAACAAAAGCAGGTCACGTAAAGAAGCATCAGCCACTATCTACGAGGAGCAGACTGCAGACCTTCACAAATGTAAGCTAAAGGAATTAAAGAAATCATTTTCACTAACAAAGATTGCTCCTATCTTATATCTAAGGTACACATGGTAAGCCTTGGAAAGTTAATGCTCATGAAAACTGTCTTTTTACTTTTATTATTTCAATTCACAAACCAATTAAAGACACTATTAAAAAATTCTCATTAGCTATTCCATAAAGTACCAGTATTCTCCCACAACCAGCCATGAACTCTTCAGAAGTTATTACAGATTTTAACTAGTGGCCATCTTCCTCTTTTCTAAGATCTAAGCTGCTGCCAGTGAGTGTGCAATGCTAAGGTTTGGCCTCTGCTGTCCCCTAGTGGAATCACATTCTGCTCCTTATGTTACAGAATTTCTGAGCGCCACAAAATGTAGCCAGGCACATAAGGCTAAATTAGAATATTGCTGAAATTATTTTATCTTCTACTATTCTGGGGGAAAAAAATAGTTATATATAAATGCCCATCTTCTACCCACAACCCTCCCCTACCCTCCCCAAATAAAAACATTTTTTAAAGTTGAGAATATCTGATGTCTATTTTCCATTCCCAAATATTTTCTACTTTCAACTGGACATTTTTATAAAAACTGGAAGAGCTTGGTTTTGTACCAAAAGAACTATAAGCCCTAAAGAGAATTGCTTTTTAAAGTGACAGAATGTATCACAGGATAGAGCATTATAAAACTATATTCATATACCTGGCCTCACTTATCTCTAAAGGAGATCATTTTGTTAAAAGGGGTGTGCTGGTTAAGGAAAATACAGGGAAATTTCTCAACTGCTATAGATCAAAAGGAATTTAGAAAGGTAAAATTAATTAATACAGAATTAGGTACTTCAAGACAAAAGTACCCAAATCACTTTTTTAGCTAAAATATGGAAAGAAAAAAAGATTCCCCAAATCTTAGCTATTTTGCTAATGAATTTGTTTTCCTATATCGATATATTATAGTTCAATTGCAAAAGCAAACACTATCTGGCAACTTGGTCTTAATTACAGCCAAATACACAGGATTTTAATTAGATTCTAATTTTAATTTAGCCTTTATTCAATTCAATTATTCAGTCTCATGGCCCACAAAACTTTCTAATTATCTTTAAGCCCATTATTGGCAAGTTTTAAACTGCCAGAAAAAAAAAAAAAAAAAAGCATTATATATGCTAAACCTTTCCACATACTATACATCTAAAATAGTCAAGTAAAAATACTTTTAATTGGTTACAAAAGGTCAAACAGGCTTGTGCTTTAAAAGTTAACGACCATACTAAAAATTACATTAAAACATTTTTTTCAGATTAGTATTCTCTCTCTTCAGACACAATAATGTGATGTTGTTCTAACTCCTCTTCATCTCCTCAGTCATTAAGACCCAATTTAATGTTCACCACGGCATGTTCAACTACATAAAATTTTCAACAACTTCTCTAGGAACCAAGAACCTTGAAATATTCCCCCCTCTAGAATCTTTTCCTGATTTATATTGACATGTCCAATAATCTTCATATAGGGAGAATTTTACTGCTAAATGTATTCTATTTATGAATCAGTCTGCCCTGTCCCCATCAATACCACTGGCACATCTAAAAAGAATGTAATACATATGAAAATAATCACATTAAAGAATACACTATATTAAAGATATCGAAAAGGAAAAGAAAAAATAAAAATAAAAAGCGCCTACACCCCTGGCCCAATGCACTTGTGAGATACCATATCCAACCCTGCCTATCCAGAGGCCCACAGGAGCACAGAATGCAGATATGTGCACAGGTACATGTAAAAATTTACACAACTACACATTTACTGAGGAGAATAACAGTGGAGAAGGTCATTCCACCAACCACCACTGATGACTTTCCAAAATACTCACTATGAATGACAATCAAAACAGGTACTCGCCGGGCACTGTGGCTCACACCTGTAATCCCAACACTTTGGGAGGCTGAGGCGGGCGGATCACTTGAGGTCAGGAGTTCAAAACCAACCTGGCCAACATGGTGAAACGCCATCTCTACTAAAAATACAAAAATTAGGCAGGTGTGGTGGCACGCGCCTATAGTCCCAGCTACTTGGGAGGCTGAGGCAGGAGAATCACTTGAACCCGGGAGGCGGAGGTTGCAGTGAGCTGAGATTGTGCCACTGCACTCCAGCCTGGGTGACAGAGCGACACTCTGTCTCAAAAAAAACAAAACAGAACAAAACAAAAACCATGTACTCAATACATTAAAGACCAATGAGGCACCATCTACCCCCTCATAAAAATGGAGAACAGGCAACTATTCTACCCATGTCCCATTTTAGTTAGTTCCAAGAAGAAAGAAAGTTCTAAAAACAAGTTTGTCTAAATGTACAGTATCATATACAAAACCTAATCCTAACTGCATTGCTTGTTTAAAACTACATCATTAATTGCAATTAAAAGACTTATTTTTGAACCCACTAATTCATAAATCCTATTTTTAAATAGTCTTTCATTATTATACTGTTCTCTCCCTTCTTTCATGCTGGTCAAAAGAAGCACATTTAATTTGAGTGCATTTTTATTATAAACCACGTTTAAAGATGGCCCACAGGATAAACATGAATCAATCAAAAAAAACAAAAAAAAAAAACACTTAAACACTCATACATTCAAACATCTTATGAAAATTAAATAGAATTTTAAGAAGATCTATTTCTTGCTAGGCTATAAAAAGACATAAAAACCTTCACTTCAGCTGAAACAAAAAGTGACCACATAAAAACAAAAACAAAAAAATTTTCTTCAAAGCTACCCAAAAAATATAAATGTATAGAAATCTAAAAGAACTAAACGCCAAGGGGACTTCCTAGGTAAGCAAGGGATAGCGTACACTTTCATACTTGGGGCCACTTGCTGAAGTGGACACAGGGCAGGTGGTAAAGCAAGCCTGCCAAACAGGACAGTCTGTGCTCGGGCCTAAAGATCCTCACATCCCTGGGAAAGTTTTGAGAAGAGTTTGTGGCATGAAATTGGAAGCAACCATTGGTCCAGTTAGACCAATCCTGGAATCCATATGATAAATACCCAATCATCCAGTTTTGATGAGAAAGAAAACAGAGCAAAAATGTAAAACTGAATAAATAGTCCATCTGTGGCTAACCATAATCATAATCTAAAGATCATAATAAATTCCAATTCTTAAACACTACAAACATCAGCAAGACAAATGTACATTGAAACTTTATTCAGCTCTCTATTTTCTTAAGATCCATTTCTGGATGTGGAATTACTAAGACAAAAACAAGAACTGTAAGGTTGTTAATAAGTATTACCATATGCTATCCAGAAAAATGTTAACCATTTACAATTCCACCAAGAATGTATACCTCCCAGCTTTGCTGCTACAGCTTAACAGCAATGACAGATTGTGTAATCCTTTTTGATTCATTCATATACCTTTCTATGCCACTTAATTCCAAATGACTGACTTTACTATGGTTTTTTTTTATTTGTTTTGTTTTGTTGTTTTTGAGACAGAGCATCACTCTGTCGCCCAGGCTGGAATGCAGTGGTGCGATCTCGGCTCACTGCAACCTCCGCCTCCCGGGTTCACGTGATTCTCCTGCCTCAGCCTCCCAAGGAGCTGAGACTACAGGCGCACACCACCACTCCTGGCTGATTTTTTTGTATTTGTAGTAGAGACAGGGTTTCACCATGTTGCTCAGGCTGGTCTTGAACTCCTGACCTCGTGATCCGCCCACCTCGGCCTCCCAAAGGGCTGGGATTACAGGCATGAGCCACCATGCCCAGCCTACTACATTCTTTTCTAGACAGTTCCTCATACCTCTTGAGCAAACATAGGATACTTTTGGGAGGAAGTGGGGAGTATAGGAAGAAGGAGAGATAGGGAGTGGTCTTCAGCAATGTCTCTGTTTCCTGAACTAGGAAGAAAGGAAAAAGAGATATCTATGATTCCAAATCACTTAGCCTCTTATTAGCCTATACTTTAGAAGGTAAGAGCACAAGATCTAGACTAGATAAGCCAGACTGCCTGGGTTCAAATCCTGGCTCTGTGGATCTTTGAACAAATTGTTTAACTGCTCAAAGATTCAGTTTCCTCACCTGAAAATAGGGATTTAATAATACAGTAAGTAGTCCCCCCTCTATCTGTGGTTTCGCTTTCTGTGGTTTCAGTTACCCCCAGTCAACCAAGGCCCAAAAAATATTAAATATATTAAATGGAAAATTCCAGAAATAAACAATTCATAAGTTTTAAATTGCTCACCCTTCTGAGTAGCCTGATAAAATGTCACACCATCCCACTGTGTCCTGCCCACAATGTGAATCATCCCTTTGTCCAGCATATGCACGCTTAAGACCCCACCCACTTGTTACTTAGCTGTCTCAGTTACTAGACTGAAAAAACATAGCATATATTGGGTTTGGTACTGAGATTTCAGGCATCCACTGGGACCTTGGAACATAACCCCTGAGGATAAGTGAGGACTACTGCAGTCCTAGACCTAACTGACAGGTCATTAGGATTCAATGAGATGACTTTCAATGAGCAGTTTTGCTGAAAAGTAAAGTACAAGAAAGTTTAAACAAACTAAAATAAGATTTTTATGGATTTTTTGCAGCACTAATCAAGTCTTAGCCATAATGATTTACAGTAGCTGTCAACTCACACCACAAAATGCCAAACCAGCACTCACTTACCTGATTCCTTTCTTCGTTTATCTGCAGTTGGAAAAGCATGCTTTGTTATTTAGATAGTAGCAAAAGAAAAGAAATTAGTCAGTACACCTACCTGGCAGTTCTACCTGCTCTGTGAATATATGTGTTGGCATCCTCAGGACAATCAAACTGAAGAACCCAATTCACGGCCGGGAAATCTACAGAGAAGGGATGTGAAGTTAAGAAACTGGTTGCAAGATCTGCCCTGCTGCACTATTTTTATCTTAAAATATTGCTTGCCAGGACTTTTCATCACATCAAACTGATGGATATCATCTATGAACTCTATTAAAAATAAAATTAATTGCATGAACCAAGAGATAGTAAACATTTCTCTTGACAAAATGAACTAAAATTAATGACTGTTTGAATATGAAGATTACTTCGTATCTGACACGGAAGAGACAGATTGCTTTGTGTCGGACAAACAGTGAAATACCCTAATATTTAATAACCCGAAAGCACCACTTCTAATGGGGACATGGACAAAGCTGGAAACCATCATTCTCAGCAAACCAACGGGAACAGAAACCCAAACACTGCATGTTCTCACTCATAAGTGGGAGTTGAAGAGTGGACACAGGGAGAGGAACATCACACACTGGGGCCTGTCTGGAGGTGGGGGACTAGGGGAGGGATAGCATTAGGAGAAATACCTAATGTAGATGACGGGTTGATGGATGCAGCAAACCACCATGGCACATGTATACCTATGTAACAAACCTGCACAATCTGTACATGTACCCCAGAACTTAAAGCATAATAAAAAATTAAGTAAAATAAAAACTAGTCAGGCATGGCGCATGCCTGTAGTCCCAGCTGCTGGGGAAGCTGAGGTGGGAGTATCACTTGAGCCTGGTAGATCGAGGCTGTAGTGAGCTATGATCATGCTACTGTACTCCAGCCTATACTAATAAATATGGCATCTGAGATATGCTTTAGAGTACTCCAAGAGGGACAGGGGGAGGATTATGAAAAAGATAATTGTTAAAGCTGGGTATATGAGGGTAGATTAAACATATTCAGCTTTTGTTTATGCTTCAAATTTGCTGTAATTAACAATACAATAAAATTAAGTGACTGAAGGATTCAAATTATCACCTATTTATTCTCACCCTTTGTTCCTAAGTCTAGTTTTCCTCTCTAGTTACGTCCATCCCCGTCCCATTCCCACAAAGCCAGGAGTTGTATAATCAACAAAGCAGGTTTTGAAAATAAATTTAACTACGCTAAATGTAGTTATTTATCAGATAAAAATTAGAATGATGAAAACATGGACTTCACTGATTTTTCTTGTTAAATGAGTTCAGTATCTATAAACAAGTTTCCAATTTTCAAAGAAATGGGAATTGTTTTCATATCTTTAAACTTTTAACCCCCTTTGATTTTGTAGGTTCCTCAGGATTCTATGGTGTGATTATCATGAAATAGTAAAAAAGATGCAAATACTGTGGAAATTTTCACTGATACATCCTTAATGTTAGTCAACTGCTACCAATTTACTACTTACTTTTCTCTTACAAAATAAGAAAAGAAACCCAAGTGTTTGAGTCTATCAGATTTCCCAAAATATACTTTATAAGCAAATTACATTTCACACAATCACAGAAATTTCATGATAGGAAGTTTTCTTACCCAGACCCCTGGCTGCAATATCAGTAGCAAAGAGTACTGCAGCTCTCTTACGGACAAACTCATTATAGACTTCCATTCTTCTCATTTGCTGCTGTCGACCATGGAGTGCAAGGATAGAAACACCAGGACGTAGCCGGCAAAACACTCGGTACAGATACTGGACCTGGGGCATCAACAGAAGAATAAGTTTGCTTATGGCAGATGGCAGCAATAAAGCTTTTCTCTTATCAACGTATCCCACAGAGTCTCAACAGCAGAGCAATGTGATACCCAATTCCAACCAAGTAAAAAAAGTAAAGAAACTCTTATTTAATCACAAGCAATTTAATTTCCTTCCCTCCTTTAATTCACATTTCTATTTCCTAACGTCACAGAATTGCATCTTAAGTTTGAAGCTTGAAAGCCTTTTATTGATGTTATCATAACTCATTTTCTACAAAAGAAAAAACTTATTTTAATTTCCTGTGGCCATAGGCTGACTGAACTTTCCTCTCAGACTCAGCAATTATTAAAATAATTAGTAATACAGAACTGATCAAACCAAGAAATATGTTGGGATTTGATTTAAAAAACTGTTAGACATAAATAAAAACATTGTAAATATATCTCAATGTGTGGGACTATATAGAGCTAATTGTTCTGGTTCTCTTTTTGTACCCATAAATGGATACTATGGATTACTAGACTGAAAAGAGTTCAGCATTATTTTATTTTCTCTAATATGGGGGTTAAAATCTGTTCACATAAATAAAACAAACTCAAAGGAAGTTTAATTCTGAGCTCCTATAAAATAGGCCAAAAGTCATAATGGATTATTCCAAATAATTTTTGGTGATCCAGTCGCTCAATTAAAGAGAAAGACCCCATTAAAGTCTCTCTTCAATTTTGCTGACAGTAAAGAATGGGAAACCAAGTGAATTGCTTGTTACCCAATCACTAGCCATTCACTTTCTCAAATGCAATTTGCTACTGCCAGGGAGGTTCTGATTCTGGGACAATATATCAGGCAAGTATCAGAGATAGCTGGACTTAGGCCTTTCTTTCGTAAAGATGTAAAAACAGCTTCTCCAAGAAAACATCAAATGGCAGATGATGCTGGTGCAGCGGAAGGGTCCACGGGACAAGGAATTGGAAACCACAGAGGCTTCGATGGAGGCTTCAGCAATAGCACCTGCAACCAAGGCCACTGAGGCAAAGCCAAGGGGTGGATGCCAGTCACAAAGCTGTGCTGCTTGGTGAAGGACATGAAGACCAAGTCCCTGGAGGAGATCTATCTCTTCTCCTGCCCATCAAGGAGTCTGAGGTCCTTGACATTTTCCTGGGGGCATCTCTCAAGAATGAGGTTTCAAAGATTACATGGCGCAAAAGTGGCCCACACTGGCCAACGCACTGGATTCAAGGCATGTTGCCACTGGGGACTACAATGGCCACACTGATACGGGTATCAGGTGCTCCAAGGAGGTAGCCACTGCCATTTGAGGAGCCATTATCCTGGCCAAGCTCTCCATTGTCCTTGTGCCAAGAGGCTACTTGGGGAACAAGATCGGCAAGCTCACCAGCCCTTGCAGGGTGACAGACCCTCTCTGTGCTGGTGAGACTTATCCCCACCTCAGGAGGCACTGGTATCATCTCAGCCCCATGCCCAAGAAGCTGCTGCTGATGGTGGGTATTGACAATTGCTATACCTCGACCAAGAGGCTGCATTGCCACCCTGGGCAACTATGCCAAGGCCACCTTTGATGCCATCTCCTACTCTAAAGAGTAGAAACTTTAAACAGAACTTTAAATAGAACTTTCAGAATCATTTCCTAGCACCTAGATGCCAAAACCAACTAACTCTTCTTTAGGAGATGTGAAGTTTATTGTTTTGTTGTTGGCTACTGCTCAGGATACACTTCCAAGTTGCCTTGAGGAATGCTCCCAGGAGACTGGAAGCTTTGAAAATCTAAAATCGGTCCTTGAAAAACTGAAGTCTTTTTTTTTTTTTTAAAGACAGGGTGTCGCCATCTTGCCCAAGCTGGTCTTAAACTTCTAGACTCAAGCAATCCTCCTACCTCAGCCTCTTAAAGTGCTGGGATTACAGGCGTGAGCCACCGCACCAAGGCTGAAGTCATTCTTTACATGGTAAAATAAGGTTCAGTAGACAACAGCATCAGATCACCACTTAACTTCCCATAAGCTAGAGAGAAACCCATCTACATATTTATCATGGAAAGTTATTGCAAAAGCTGTAAATCTAGAATTGATCTACTACATTCCCTATTAAGTCATTGGGAATCTGAAATATAGTACAGGAGAAGAGGCACACGCACGCACACATGCACAAAGACCGTAGTCCCTTCTCCTTAAGAGAGGAGACAAAGTTCTCTTAGACATCTCTGAAATCCTTATTCTTTATTCCTAGCACAGGGCTAGTGTTCAAGAAGTGTTTATTAACTAAGATATAAACAAAACACTTCAGAAGGTTAGGGGAGGGAACAACTGATTCTTTAAAAAGGGAGTGTCAGAAAGGGACTTTCAGGCATAACATTTGAACTTAGCCTCAAAGTAAGTATTTCCCCAGATTTAGATGAAGAGATGCAGGGAGGGCATTCCAGACAGATCAGCATAAACAAAGATATACGGCATGGAAATAAATGGTATATTCATTCCCATATTCTTGGAGGGTAAGGGAGGTATCAGATTATAAAGACCTCTGCTTAGCTTGGATAACAATTATTCATTCTACTAATATTTATTGAGGACTACATTTCCAGTATTGTTAGCACTTAACATAATACCTAAGAAAAGACACAGTTTCTGTCCTTGTGGAGTTGAAAGTCTCAGCCACGGATTCCTTTGCAACAAGGACACGAAAGATCCCTCACCACACCTAGCACTGTACTTCTCGTACAATATAATAATTTGTCTAATTGATTTGCCATTTCAAAAGGGACATTCAACATACGTTCAGAAAGCAAAATAAACAGCCAATACCTCTTTGCAACTGGAAAAAAATACAATGCTCTTCTTCTTCAGATGGCTTCTCAAAAAGGAATACAGCACACTTATTTTTTGCTGCAGCTCACAGACTATGTAGTTCTGTTCCAAAGTGGCAGGGGTGCTTGTGGAATTACGGAAAAGAAAAACATTAGAATATGTCATGTAAGTAACTGAAATCCAGACCAAAAAAGGAAACAAGTTTTAATAGTGGCACATCTCTCAAGCAAATTTCCTACACACATACACCAAAAAAAGAATTTTTCTCTATTGTCCCTTAGGAAACAAATTCAACACATTACTTTAAAACACATTCAAAATCCCTTGTAAATCAATGTCAAACAAAGCATGACAAGAACAGTGATTACCTCTAAAAATGCAGGGTCAAGGATTAACTAAGAAGAGGTGTAAGAGAACTTGCTGGGCTGATTAGTATTCCACATCTCATTAGGGCTTTAGATTACTGAGATATACACATTCATCAAATTCAACTGTATACTTACAATTTTCATATTTCATGGTACACAAATTTTATGCCAAAAGAAAAAAAATCTGTTCAAATATTAAACTCTCAGTAATACGTGTGCTGAAGTATTTGGAGAGAATACAGATATCTGCAATTTACCCTGAAATCCATCAAAAATAAAATGGGTTAATATAGAAGGGATGGATGAAAGCAAGTAAATGGATGCTACCATTAGATAGTATCTAGGTGTTTGGTATAAGGTATTTATGGTAGAAGTCTTTCAATGTACCATATGTTTGAAATTTCATTATAAAATGTTGGAGAAAAATATACATGCATTTACTCTTTGAATTAATAAACCTACTTTATTCCAACATTACTCTGGTTTTAAACACACACATATACACACACACAAATATATGGCATTATTTATGAAGCAAAAAATGATGAAAATCAACCCAAATGTCCATCAGTAGGGACTTGCAGTATGAACAATTACACAGCCACATACATTAATTATTATGCAACTGTAAAAAAGGAATGAAGATTCTATCCATATATTGCTGAGGAGTGATGTCTAGGACACACTGTTAAGGAAAGAGGTAAGGGGCAGAATAGTACAGATAGTTTGGTACTATTTATCAGGGGGCTATACATTATATATCCATATACATGCCCACCCATGTGTGTCTGTGTTTACAGTGAAAGAAAAAAGGAGGAGGGACAGACAAACCAAAAACTACAAGTCAACTGGTTTTAGATATGACTAAGTTATGATCCACAAAGGGAAGAATTGATAAGCTGGACTTCATTAAAATTAAATGTTTCTGATCTGTGAAACACACTATCAAAAGAATTAGAAGATAAGCCACGGAATGGAGAAAAATATTTGCAAAAAACATCTGATAAAGGACTGTTCTCCAAAATATACAAACAACTCTTAAAATTCAACAATAAGAACAGAAACACCCAATTTTAAAAGGGGGAAGGAGGCCAAAAATCTTAACAGACACCTCT